>NC_000002.12:228701739-229004769 GCF_000001405.40 Homo sapiens
TGCTTCTCCCAGGCTGAAAGTTTCTTTCCCTAGTTCCACAAAAAGCTGGGAGCCCAATCCCCTGGTTTGATCATTGCCCTTCCCTGACACCCCTCCAGGAAAGCTGTATCTCAGTTCATGTTATTTGCCCTGTGGTTTATTTCTGCTATAAGATTTCACTTCTTTGTTGGTACCTCAACTATGTGTTGAAAATAATGCTCTGATTACTTTATCTGGCATTTCTATGGGTTTATCTCAAGGGACTTTGCAGATGAGTCTATCTTCTTGATCACCTCACCCTCGTCCCATTCTTATCCCATCTTAACACATTGTGCATAACAGATGCTCCAGAATGCTCTTTGATCTCAGTGTCTACTCAGCCTCACTACTCCATCAGCCCCTGCTGTCTTGCTGGAGCCCTCAGTTACAAAGAGAAATATTTATCATCCTTTTACCTCCCTCATGGCTTATTGACTCAATTTCTTTCACATGTGTTCATGACACTTAGAGTGCTACCAAACTTGCTCCCTGTTATGGATGAAAGCGTTTCTTAATAGCTCACCTGTCCCAGGATGGTTGCAGGCCACAGAATGATCACTTTAAAATAGTCATGGATTTCTAAAGTTTTTAATGATTTTGAAAAAAAAAAAAAAAAAACCTAACTTTTTTCACCAAAGGGTCTTGCATGAATGCATTTTTTGTTTGTTTTGTGTGTGTGTGTGTGTGTGTATTTGAGACAGGGTCTCACCATGCTGTTGACTAGGCTGTAGTGCAGTGGCACAATCTTGGCTCACTGCAACTTCCATCCCCTGGGTTCAAGCAATTCTTTTGTATCAGCCTCCAGAGTAGCTGGGACTACAGGGACATGCTACCAGGCCCCACTAATTTTTGTATTTTTAGTAGAGACGGGGTTTTACCATGTTGGCCAGGCTGGTCTGGAATTCCTGACTTCAAGCAATCTGCCTGCCTCTGCTTTCCAAAGTGCTGGGTGGCATAAGCCACCGTGCCCGGCAGGATGTATATTTTTAATTAAATGAGTTCTACAAAATATATGAGATTGCTGGTTTTCTTTAATGTACTTATAGGTAAAGTCTGGCTGGTATCATGTACTTTACATTATAAACTAAAGTAGAGACTTGTGTATTTGCTACATATTCAAATTTACTTTGTTGATGAGGATACTGGGAGGTTGTGCTGAAAGATTCTTCTTTATTGATTGCACACATCTTAAAGGGAAGAAAGTGGTTTACAAAAGACATTTTAAAGGACTTCTAGAAAGATAATAAAATAGTAATCAAGAAAAAGAGATGGTTGCTCCAAAATAATATGGTGGGAAAACAATAATAAAAATAACTGTAATGTAATTGGAAATTAGTTTTTAAATTATATTGGTTTACTTAGCTTTTCAAAAAACAAAAGAAATAAAAGATAATGAAAATAACATCCATCATCAGATTTCTCAGACTGCATGAAAATGTCCTTGCCCTTAGTTAAAAAAAAAAAAAAAATCAGTGTCTGTTGCATGTGATTAGCCAGGCTTGGTTTTGATTGTTTCCATTACGATCTTCTTGTTAGAGTGTAATGAGATGCAGTCCTGCACGTATGAATACCCATCGCCTGTCACTGAGCCATCTGTCCACAACTTAAAGGCATGAAAACGCTGTCTGCAGTGAATGAGAAAAATGGAAATTTATATTAGAATCGTTCCTTTTTGTTCTTTGTTCATGATTGAAAGCCACTCGACATCTATTCACTGGGATTCAGACATTTAACAGGCAACCTATCTAACAACTTTAAAATGTATTCTAAAATTGGGGTCTATTTTGACATCTGGACGTTGGCCAATCTTTTCCCTGAACCAGCTTTTTTTTTTTTAAGAAAGCTTTAAAAAATAGACTTTATTTTTTAGAGCAGTTTTAGGTTTATAGAAAAATTGAGCAGAAAGTACATAGCTCCAGTGTACTCCCTTCCCCCAACCTCACTTTCCCCTATTAACATCTTGAATTGGTGTGGTACATTTGTTACAATTCACAAACAAATATTGTAGTTTAACTGTGCCCCCAGATCCCCTGTCTTTTACCTATGCATGTTCCTGCCGCAATCCCTGGGGTTCACTGAGAGGTTTTACTGCCTCTATAGTTGTTCATTTTATAAATATTATAACATTGGAATCTTACAATATATTGTCTTTTCAGACTTTTTTCATGTAGCAATATGTATTGTACTAGTTTTTTAATTGTCTTTAATTTCGATTTTTAAAAAATTACTCACCAGTCACATCACTAATGTCCATTACCAAGTTAAAAAAATTTGTCAGGAAAACATTTAAACAAGTTGCCAGAATAAGATTAAAAAATGTACTCAATACTAAATAGCTCACTTTATAAATGGAGATAAATAAGAAAGGAAAATAAAACAGGGTGATGATGTGTGATAGAAAGAGATATAGGCATATCTCTTTGAATTTTTGAGCCTCAGTTTCTTCATCTCTGAAATGGGGATACTATTATGACATTCCAAGTTCTTCACGGTTAGACATCTTATGTGATGTATATTGAAGGCACTCAATGGCAATGAAGGAAACAGAGAAGAAGCAGAGAAGAAAAGTCACAAGAAAGAGGATGAGAAGGATGAAAATGCTAGAAGAGGAGGGAAGATACAGAAGTAGGAGGAAGGAGGAGACTTTGCTGTAACCTAAAGTAAAAGTTGTTTCTGAGAACAGGGTTTCATCACATCAGGATATGAGACTGTCTTGATAGGTGTGATGTAGAAAAATATTTACCTTTTAGAGGGTCTCCTGGCCATGGGAACCTAGGTGATGTTTCAAGAATCATTTTCTGAAATCAAAATAACAGCACAACAGCTAATGCCCATTTCTCTTCCTTAATGATTTTGAAAATATATATAAAGAAAAAGAATTAGACTAACGATAGTGGAAGAAAAATGGTAATACAATATAACTATCATATTTTAGCTATTTCAACCCAAAATACTCCTTTTTCCTGGTTTTCCATCAGTCTTATCTCTAAATATTACATATCAAAGTAACTATTACAGTCTTCTTAAATATGGCTGAATGTTAAAGATCAAGATGTCACTTTGCTAATAACTATGAAACTACATAAGAATTTGTTTCAACCTAAGAAACATGAAAAGGCAAATAATTGTTAGGGGTTCTATACACCTAGATAATGCGTTTTACAAGGAAAGTTTCTTCTTTGAGCTAACACAACTGATTTAATCTAGGCAGCCCGTAAGTTTTCCTAGCAGTAAGGATCCTTGGAAATCTTACTTGAGGAGAAGGGAAACTCTTTTAGGCATCTGTGGGCTGGCGTCCTTGACCCCTCAAGAGTTATCTGAACTCTGCATATCCCAGGGGTATCATCAGAGTTATACCCTCTCCAGAGAAGATGCACCAACCACATTGCTCACACAAGTGGACAAGACTGACACCTACACATTTTGAACCCTAAGTCTCTAGTTCCTAGAATTCCTTTCCCTGAATCTACAAAGCCAAGGGACACTCAGGGTGAAGAGTTAGTCTGTCCCTTCCTCCTCAAACTCCTGGGGCACCCTCAGATCATCCTTAGGCACGCCCACCTTCTCAGTGCTGGTGAACCAGTGTTTTATCTGAGAGTCTTCCAGAGCCTTCTAGTTCATGTTTATTTATGATTCCCGGAGACCAGCCCTAGTCTCCTTTTGTCTCTGAGGTAAACAGCCCTACTGCAGCCTCGTCTCTCTCTCATCAGGCTCTGTGGGAGCTGAGACAGATGACACTTCTTTGTGTCCTGGCGTTATGCAGACACACAGAGGAGTGCCTTTCAGATCCCCTCAGGACTGCTGTGCTCATAAGACTGGTTGGCTGACAACCCCAAGTTTTTTGCTCCTTCAGGATCCACCCGACTCATGCTCAGAGCTGCCTCCAGAAAATGAGCAAGGGCCTCATTGCAGCCCAAAACAACTCAGCTCTAACAGGCCAGCTTTCCTGCAGAGCAGCCCCTTGGGCTGACAGAGACTTTGTCAGCCTGCATCACAGCCCGGTGGCTTCCCTGTTGCTGTTCCTTTTCTTTCTTTGGTGTGTCTCCTCCACAAAACTTTTGCCTTCCTAACTTGGTCTCGGCATCTATTTCCTGTGTCAGGTATTACCTACACAATGAACTAAACCAGTCCTTAACTGAAGAGGGTGAGACCCATGCTGGGACTCCAACATCATGATTAAATGATGACTAGAAGGTAGAGACCAAGTCTCCCTCATGGCCCACAAGGATTGTGCATAATAACCTTTCAATAAAGGTTTGCTGAATTCCATTTTCAAATATCTTGTGCTTCAGAATTCATCTTTGGATACAACATTTTTGCTTTTTATTAACATAGCCATCCTCCACTTCCCCTAAAGCATACATATGTATGTGTTGGGCAGAAAGTCTACACTTTCTTTGCTTAGGCATGATTGTACTGATTAAAAACCACCTCACAAATTCAGGTTAACCCCTTGACTGCTGCAATCTCCTGCCTTCACACAGGAAGGATGCCCCTTCTGTTCTTCATTCTTCCTTCCTTGGTGTGACTTAGTGTCTCTGCAGCTCTTTTGGCAGGCTGTGCTGGGATGTCATTTTCCAAGAAGGGGTCCACTTATTCAGATGAATGCCTCCTTTATTTATTGTAAAATGTTTTGGCAGCTATGGCAAATAGAGATTAGGTGTGGGCTGCTTTGCCTTTGAACACAACTTGCTGAAACAGTAGGGGACGCATCTCCCACATTCCGGGAGGATATGCCATCTAATAAGTCACATGGAACCCCTGAAATTTCCATTCACAAAAGGATCACATGGAACCCCTGAAACTTCCATTCACAAAAAGATTGCTTTGGGTAGGCAGCACATAATAAGGTGCCTTTTCTGCAACATTATTAAATAGAAAGTTTCTTCATGGTGCCAGGAGGTTATATTCCTTGTAAAAGTTGTGTTCCTTCACAAGTTGTGTTCCTTCACCATTCATAAAGGACTGTTGGGAGATAGATTTGGGCATTTGGGGAATTAGCTTAATTTACTTCTTGAGCAAAATCTCCAGGAAATCAACATCTGGCTCTTCATTTCCTGTCTACCAGTCATCTTTTGTACTCTCTGTCCTTTGGTATTTTCCATGCCAGCAGCACAAACTGGAAGAAACCAAGGACCCTCTGATCACCTGATCCAGCAATGTTGTTTTACCCTTTTTAGGTGATCTCTCTTGACTTTCAATTCTAAATCTCTCCTGTCTTTTCCAGTTTGACATTCTCCTCTTTGGTTCTTCTTGCTCTTGAATCCTTTTACACCTTCTACCACCTAATGATAAGCTTCCTTGGGCTCAGTTTTGGTAAAATTACTCCTTATCAGAAATTTACTCTTTTTTTGTTGTTGTTGTTGAGACAGAGTCTCGCTCTGTCACCCAGGCTGTAGTGCAGTGGCGCGATCTCGGCTCACTGCAAGCTCTGCCTCCTGGGTTCACGCCATTCTCCTGCCTCAGCCTCCTGAGTAGCTGGGACTACCAGTGCCTGCCACCATGCCTGGCTAATTTTTTGTATTTTTAGTAGAGACGGGGTTTCACTGTGTTAGCCAGCATGGTCTTGATCTCCTGACTTCATGATCCACCTGCCTCGGCCTCCCAAAGTGCTGAGATTACAGGCGTGAGCCACTGTGCCCAGCCAGGAATTTACTCTTACGACTTTCAAATCTATACAACATTCACTGAATATCTGAATTGAAATCCCATTTTGCCTAATTGTCTATGAATTATGAATCAATATTTCCTAATCTCTATTCAAAATCAGTGGTTAATTTCAAATGGACATAAGCCTCTCAGGAATGCAGCGTGAAGCTCTTTATTCAAAGCATAGTTTTTAAACCTGAGATCCACAAAACCTTATGATGGCCATTATTATAGGTTCCTTAAGATTGTGTGCCCAACGGTGTGTGTGTACATATATTCAGCTGTATGAACGAAGCACACAAACTGAAGAAGTGTACACATAGTAGAGAAAATGGACATTATTCAGAGTGGATATATTGTGGGTGAGCCCAGATAGAACCCATTAGTCTCTACAACAGAGAAAAAATGGCAGTGATGGCTTTGGTTTCCTTAAAACAAAACTCTCCTATAATAACCTGAAGCCTTCAGTATTTCTGTGGAAACGTATTCATCACTCCTGCTATTTTCTTTGATGAAAGTTAGTTTGAACAATCTCTTGGCCCTTTTCTGCCGCCTCACAGCATCCTCTCCAGAGGATGAGAAGTATATGAATTTAGATTAAAAAATAGAAAATATGTAAATTAGCACCCACTTCCTCTTTTCAGCCCAATACTAAACTCTGTCATAAGAAGACGCTACTGAGAAGTCCTGAGAAGTTTGATGGATTGAATAGTGTCTACATATAGATTTACTATTAGCAATACCATTTGGCTAACATGCTGAAGTCTTGTTCTTCAACATTTGTATCAGCTGATTTAACTTTTAATTTTCTATTTTAGGTATCTCATTTCTAATTTTATTTGTATTTCATTTTTTCCCATCATCCTCTTATGAGGAATTCCAAATATATATCAAAGTTGAATTTTTTGTAATGAATACCCATATACCATTAACGTTTTACTACACATGTCTTAACACGTATCTGTCCATTTATCCATCTCTATCCATCCCTTGAGCCATTTTTGTTTGAGGCATTTTAATGTAATGCCTCAAAAAAGAAAATAATGCTTCACTTTCCCCTATAATTCAGCATGTATATCATTGGAGTTAATTTTCATTTTGAGATTAAATATTCCATGAAATTCACAAATGTTAAGTATATATATGTTGTGGTTTTTTTTAAAAGAAAATCAGTCTAAATTTATTTAAAGTCAGAATCATTTCAGAAAAAAATAAAATTTGACATCAACAACACAGAGCAGAGTATTCGATCTTGGCTAAGAACATTTACCAAGTAATTAAAATTACAAGTCATGAATGCTTAAAAATACTTTGTTCTTCTAAGTGAATTGAGGATGACCCCTAAAAATTTTGTATTTATTCATTAGGCAAATAATTAATTTTAGATAGACTGAGGAAAGTTAAGTTTCTGACCAAATAATAAGGAATTCTTTTATTATTATTATTATTATACTTTAAGTTTTGGGGTACATGTGCAGAACGTGCAGGTTTGTTACATAGGTATACATGTGCCATGGTGGTTTGATACACCCATCAACCCATCATCTACATTAGATATTTCTTCTAATGCTATCCCTCCCCTTGCCCCCCACCCCCTGACAAGCCCCGGTGTGTGATGTTCCTCTCCCTGTGTCCAGGTGTTCTCATTATTCAGTTCCCACTTAGGAGTGAGAACATGCAGTGTTTGGTTTTCTGTTCTTGTGTTAGTTTGCTGAGAATGATGGTTTCCAGCTTCATCCATGTGCCTGCAAAGGATATGAACTCATCCTTTTTTATGGCTGGATAGTATTCCATGGTGTATATGTGCCACATTTTTTTTATCCAGTCTATGACTGATGGACATTTGGGTTGGTTTCAAGTCTTTGCTATTGTGAGCAGTGCCGCGATAAACATACATGTGCATGTGTCTTTATAGTAGAATTTTGACAAACGCATACACTAAAGTAACTCAAACTCTTGTCAGGTTGTAGAACATTACCATCACCCCAGAAAGTTATATAATTCCACTTCCCAAAAATCCTTACCCCATATCCCAGAAGCAACTTCTTTCTTGATTTTTCCCATTAGAGATTCCTTTTGCCTGTTCTAGAACTTTATGTAAATGGTACCATACCCGCAGGATGGACTCTTGTGTGTAAAGTTTCTTTCACTAAGCCTAATAGTTTTGAGACTCACCTATTTGACCGTATGTTAGTAGTTCATTGTATTGTTACAGATGAAGTGTATATCATTGTATGAATACACCAGAGTTTATTCATTCTCCTGTTGGTGCACACTTCCAAATCAGGGCCATTATGAATAAACTATGAACAATCTTGTGCAAGTCTTTTGGTGAACCTACATATTCATTTCTTTTGGGCAACAACATAGGATAGCAAGTGATGAGTAGATAGAGTAGGTATATGTTTAGTTATATGAGAAATTACCAGATCACTATATAAACAAGTTACACCATGTTATATTCCCACCAAAAAAATGAGAATTTCAGTCAGTCTACACCCTCAAAAACAATCAATATTGTCAATCTTTGTACTTTTAGCCATTCTGTTGACTATGTAGTATCATGAGAATTTCAGTCAGTCTACACCCTCAAAAACAATCAATATTGTCAGTCTTTGTACTTTTAGCCATTCTGTTGACTATGTAGTAAAATTTCCCTGTGGTTTTAATTTGAATGTATTTGATGACTATGATGGTAAGAACTTTTTAATGAGTTTCTTAGCCATTTGTACGTCATTTTGTGAATGCCTGTGAAATCTTTGTCCCATATTTTATGGGGTTACTTGCAAGTTTATGACTGAGTTTTAGGTGTTCTTTATATATCCTGGACACCAATACATCGTCAGATATATCCTGTGACTATTTTCTCCATGTTTATGCCTTGCCTATTAATTTTCTTAATGGTGTTTTTGATAAGATTATTTTTCATTGGATAAAATCTAGTTTTTTGATGTTTCTTTTATGATTATTTCTAATTGTGATCTGAGAAATGTTTGTCTACCCTCAAGTCATAAAGATATCCTTCTCTGTTTACTTCTAAAATCGTTATAGTTTTAGATTTTACATTCAGGTCAATGTTCTATCTCTACTTACTTTTACATGCAGTGAAAGTAATAGGTTAATGTTCATTTTTTTCCCCACGCAGATATCCAATTATTTCAGCATCACTTGCTAAAAATACTTTCCTTTCGTCTTTGGATTCCACTGGCAACTTTATTGAAAAATCAGATAACTATGTAAGTGTGTGTCTTTTTCTGGTCTCTCTGTTTCATTGATAAATTTGTCAATACTTCTGTCTGTATCTCACTCCCTTGATTATTATAACGTAAAGTATTACAATCAGGCAGTGTAAATGTTAATGTTTGTTCTTTTTCAAGGTATTGTTTTGAATATCGATGTTCTCTGCCTTTCTATGTAAGTTTTAGAATTTCCACGTCTGCTTCTACCAAAAAAAAAAAAAAAAAAAAAAACCTGCTGAAAAATGATTGTGATTGTGTTTACCTTGTAAATCAGTTTGGAAAGAAGTGACATCTTAACAATATCAAGTCTTCTAATGGTTTTTCTCTGCATTTATTTGGGTCTTTTTGAATTTCTCCTACAAGTTTGTTTCAGTTCTCAGGTTAGAAATTTTGTGTGTTCTCAGCGAGACGTAATCTTAAGAATTTTAATATTTTGATGCTATTATATAGTAATTAATTGTATTATTCATTTGTTGCTAGTATACAAATATATAAATGATTTTTGTACATTATCTATAGTAAATTCATTTATTAGTTTCTGAAGTAGTTTATAGATACCTTAGGATTTTATACACATACAAAAGTCATCTGCACCTAAAGACAAATATCGTCCTTCCTTTCTGATATTTACGTTATTTATTTATTTATTTATTTATTTGGGTTTTATTACTGGCTAGATTTCCACTGCAATGCTAAATAGAGATAGTGGGAGTGTGGATCTTTGCTTTGTTCCCAAATTTAGGAGGAACATTCACTATTTCATCATTAATCATTATGCTGGCTGTAGCTTTTTAATAGCTATTATTGCAGATGGAGGAGGTCTCCTTGTATTTCTCGTCTGCTGAGAGTTTTTATCAAAATTGAGTGTTGAATTTTGTCATATGGTTTTTCTGCACTGATTGACATAATCATATGGTTTTTATTTTTTGTGCTTTCGATATGGTAGCTTAAACTGATGTCATTGTTGCAGTGTTGAGAAACTCTACTTGGTCATGAAATATAATATTTACATGCTAAACTACACGCATCTATGTTTAGGAGAGATATTTTAGTGGGTATCTGTAATGTCTGTCAGATTTTGGTGTCGGTATTATGCTAATTTCATAAAATGATTTGGAAGGCATTCCCTCTGCCTATGTGTTTTAAATGAAATTAAGTTCTCTCTGAAATCTTAGATAGAATTCACTTTTGAAAACTTCTCAGTCTAGAATTTTATTTATATAAAGGTTTTGATGAGTTCAATTTTTTAACACATACAGAGATATTTTAGGTTTTCTTTTTTTTTAACTTGTGTCAGTTTGACAAGTGGTATTCTTCAAGGAATGTGTTAATTTTTTCTAGATTTTTAAAATTATTGGCATGAAGTTCTTTATAATATTACCTTAAAGGTAAATAAAGCTATACATTTCCTTGTAGCTAGCTAGCTGCATCCCACAAATAATAAAATGTATTTTCACTATTATCCAGTTGGAAATATTTTCTTATTTCCTTTCTGATTTCTTTCTATGACTTATTTTTTAAGTTAGATACATATCATTTATCATTCAACTTAAAAATATTGTTTCTCCTGAATATCTTAATATATATTTCTAATATAATTCCATCTTGCTAAGAGATTACGTGAGATGGGGTGATGTCAGTTATTCTAAATTGATAAGGCACGTTTTATGGTTCAGCATATGGTCTATGTTGGTAAACATATCATGCTCAGTTTATAGATATATTTTGTAATTGTTGTTTAATGTTCTATAAATACCAAGGATACAGTAGTTGATAGAATTATCCAGATTACTAATATTTTATCTGATTTTTTTCTATTTGTTCTATCCATTGCCAAGATAGGGAAATTAAAGTCTCTTGTGATATCATTTATTTCTCCATAGAATTCTGTCAATTTTTGCTTCATAATTTTGGAGCATAAATATGTATGAACCTAATATATAGGTTCATTCAAATTATTTTGAAAATCTACAAAAAATTAACACATTCCTTGAAGAATGCCACTTGTCAAACTGACATAAGGTAATAAAAAAAGAAAACCTGATACATAGGTTCATACATATTTATGGTTATTATATATTCCTAAAAAATTGATTTTTTTAGGCAGAGTGCAGTGGCTCATGCCTGTAATCCCAGCACTTTGGGAGGCTGAAGTGGGTGGACCACCTGAGGTCAGGAGTTTGAGACCAGCCTGGCCAACATGATGAAACCCCATCTCTACTAAAAATACAAAAATTAACCAGATGTGGTGGTGAGCACCTGTAATCCCAGCTACTCGGGAGACTGAGGAAGGAGAATTGCTTGAACCCGGGAGGCGGAGGTTGAGTGAGCCGAGACTGCGCCACTGCACTCCAGCCTGGGTGACAGAGCAAGACTCCATCTCAAAAAAATTTAAAAAATTAAAATTTAATTTTTTTGTAATTATGAAGTGTCCCTCTTTATATTTGAAAATACTTTTTGTCCTGTAGGCCTGTTTTCTCTGAAATTTATATGGCCATTTCAGCTTTCTTAAGCTGTTTGCATGCTACATATTTTGCCATCCATTTACTTTTAACTTATATGTGTTTATCTTTAAAGGGTATTTTTATAGGCAGCACATAGTTATGACAATTCCTGTCTTCTAATTGAAGTGTTTGACTAAAACAATGATTGCCATTTCTGACATGATTGGATATAGATCTACTGCTATTTTATTGTGTTCTGCTTCTCCCTCTATTTCTTGATTCTCTCTTTTTTGATTTTCCCTCTTAAATTATTTGAGCATTTTTAGAATTCTACTTTAACCAATTTGCTCTTTAGTCACGTTCGTTTAGATTACTTTTTGATGTTTAATTCTTTGCTTTACAGAGACCATTTGGACTTAATATTATATTATGCTACAATAAATGTGGAAATCTTACAAGATCATAAGCCCATGTAGCACCATATACTTTATGCTATCTTTGTCACATGTATTAAGATGCATACCGTATAATCCCACATGACAATATTCTAATTTTTGCCTTTTAGAAAGTCATGCCCTTTAAATAAATTGAAAATAAAATACAGTCTTTTATACTTATTCATAATTTTACAATTTTTGGTGGTATTTACTCTTTCTGAATACCTAAGTATCCATTTTGTATCATTTTCCTTCAGTGCAAATAACTTGCTTAGGTATATTTGTAGTGCATGTCTGCTGAAGAAAATTTTATTTAGCTTTCTTTCAGCTAAAAATGTTTTCATTTTAACTTTATAATGAAAAATATTTTTGCTTGATGTAGAATTTTGAGTTGACAGACTTGTTCCTTTGACACTTAAAGATATATTCCACAATATTTCAATATTGTAGTTTTTTGTAAAATCAGAACTCATTTAAAAAGTTGTTTTCTGTATCTGTGTCACTTTTCTCTGGCTCTTTCCAAGGTCCCTCTTTATTTTTAGTTTTTAGCAATTTAAATATGACATAACTAAGTATGTTTTTTTTTTTAACATTTGCTTGCTTCGTGTTTACTGAACTTCTTGAATCTGTAGATTTATTACTTTCACCATATATGGGACTCTTTGGCCTTAATATTTTAAAATAATTCCTCATCATTCTCTCTTCTCTCCTTCAATAACTGCAATTGTATATGTATGTTAGCCTTGATATTGCCCCACAGATCTGAGAGAATATGTCAACTTTTTTTTGCAATATTTTATCTCTGTCATCTTTAGATTTGATCATTTCTATTACCTCAACTTCAGGTTCACTTATATCTTTCTTCTTTTGACTTCATTCTACTAATAAGACTATTCTAAGTTTTAATGACTACCGTATTATTCTTCTGTTCTAGGATTTCCATTTGATTATTTTTATAGTTTTGTTTCTGCACTAAAATTTGTCTCTTTATTCAGTATAACCATTTTTTCTCTCTTTCTTTTTTTTTTGAGATGGAGTCTTTCTCTGTCACCCAGGCTGGAGTATTGTGGAATCTGGTCAGCAGCCCACAGTGCAACGTGGCTCTCTCTTTGCTCTCAGGTAGATCAGCAGGTTAAGAAATAATAGACACACACAAGATAGTGAAAGCTGGGTCCAGGGGGGTCACCACCTTCTGGTCCTATGGTGCCGCCAATGCACTGGATATACCAGCATTTATTATTAAGTTTAGTGAGGGTAGGGGTAGGTTAGTGAGGGATTTAGGGTCATTTGATTATGAGGTGAGACGGTCACATGGGGATGAAGTAATTCTTTAACATAACATCTCTATGCAGAAGTACAGTATACAGAGGTAAGAATTTACAATATAGTGTGTGCATCAGTAATTTCTAACAGAGCCTTAAAACAGAAACACCAGGAACACAGTCTTTCCATAACCTATGATTAGCAAGATATTAATCAGCAGTAACAGTTGCAGCAAAAGCTGGTTACAAACAATCCATAGAAATAGGACGTGAAGCTAGACACCTGGTTAGACCAGAAATTCTCAGAAGGGAGTATGCCTTAACCCTAAAGAGGCCTACAAGAACCGTGGCAACATGAGAGCGTTTATAGCCCTATCTTATCCATATGGACAGGTGCCCCCCAATGCGTCCGTTTATAGGCTCTCCACAAGGGTTGCATTCCATTCCCAGAGCTATGAACATCTGCTTTTCTGGGATAGGAATCTTGGTGATGTGAAACCTCCCTGACTGTGTGTCCATTCATAAGCTCTCTGCAGGGGGAAGCACATCACATGCTGTTGGCTCATTCTGGCAGTCCAACCTGGCATTGTCTTTATACAATCCTGCATGCAATTTTGTATTTACAATAATCAAAAGCATTTCATCTTCTATTCCATAGCAATAGTTTCAGGGAATCTCCCTACACTGGAATGTAGTGGCATGATCTCGGCTCACTGCAACCTCTGCCTCCCAGGTTTAAGCCATTCTTTTGCCTCAGCCTCCTGAGTAGCTGGGATTAGAGACATGTGCCACCACACCTGGCTAATTTTTCTATTTTTAGTAGAGACACGGTTTTGCCATATTGGCCAGGCTGGTCTAGAACTCCTGACCTCAGGTGATCTGCTTGCCTCGGCCTCCCAAAGTGCTAGAATTACAGGCGTGAGCCACCACACCCAGACAGTGTATTTCATATTAGCTCATTTAATATAATTTTAATAGCTGCCATAAAATGCTTAAATGCTAATTCCAGCATCTGAATCACTTGTAGTTGTTTCTGTTAATTCTCTTTCCCCTTGAGAATGGCTAGCATTTTCATAGGACTTATTATTTCAGATAATTTTGGATTGTATCCAGACATTGAATTCTGTGATAATCTTCAAGAGTGTTTTGTTTTGTTTTATCAGGAAACTCACTTTGTTGAATTCAAATGCAAATTATGTGCCATTTAGTTAAGCAACAGTTCCAGTGTCGGTTCAGTTCTTTCATCCTGAGCTGAGCTGCTTTGAGTTTTCTCCATGTCGGTTCCCACACACATAAAGAAAGAGCTCCATGTATGTGAAATTCTCCCACAAATTCTTCTGGAGTTGATACACCAAGTTTGAGGCTCCCTCTCTCCAGCATGCTCCGTACTGATATCCGTAACTCACTTATTAGTCGCTGTTGTTGGATCTGAGCTTTATCCTCTGGTTTTTCAGGCCAGAAAGATTATTGCTCTTTTAGAAACATTTTTTTACTCCACATGTAATTGATTGTAGCCTGCCTTCAGGTTAATAATAAAGCCATACAGTAGGAAATGCATCTCATGTCTTTCACATATTGGCTCTCTTCTGGGATTTACCTACTTTTGTGCACTCCCTCGTGCATTCAGAAAGCTTTTTTTTCTTTTTGTTCTTTTTTTTATTATGCTTTAAGTTTTAGGGTACATGTGCACAATGTGCAGGTTAGTTACATATGTATACGTGTACCATGTTGGTGTGCTGCACCCATTAACTCGTCATTTAACATTAGGTATATCTCCTAATGCTATCCCTCCCCCCTCCCCCCACCCCACAACAGTCCCCAGTGTGTGATGTTCCCCTTCCTGTGTCCTTTGTAGGGACATGGATGAAGCTGGAAACCATCATTCTCAGCAAACTATCGCAAGGACAAAAAAACAGACACCGCATGTTCTCACTCACAGGTGGGAATTGAACAATGAGAAAGCTTTTAAAAAATATTTTGCTTCTAGAGTTTGTGGTTCTTCTCTGTGGTAGGATCAGTCTGGTAAGAATTTATTCGGCCAAATTAAGAGAAAACTCTTTGTAGTGACTGATATTTTGATCTCCACTTACTTGGCTTCTCTATCTCTCCAATCCTTTTTGAGTAGTCCATTAAAATAAGATATTAAGATATAGTAATAATTATAAGAGAGAATGGGATTGAGCTGAAACATTATCAAGAAGAACAAAATAATGGGTGAATTGGAAATATAAAAAGAATCAATTGGATTTGGCAAAAATTTATTTTCAAAAGGCTAAGGAATAATTCTAAAGCTAGTTGATTTTCAACTTAAAAGAGCTAGTAATTTCTTGGTACAGAGCAGTCTGAGGGTATTCAAAAGAAAATAAGTATATTGGCTAACCCTGAAGGAGTTAAAAAAATGGGTTAAAGCCTGAACATATTGTATATGATGTGCCAGCATGGCACCTGTGTGTACCCTACAGCAATAAAATGAAAATTTAAGTTTAAAGCCAAGAAGCAATATTAGGGAAGAATTGTATATTTGTGGATCAATACTGATATTAGATCTAAATATATTAGAATAGACTGTTGCAGGGATTCTATTACAGTTTGAACCAGATGAAATTGTTATTTCTGTGAATCAGAAACAGTCACACACTGGCAATTTTATATGGTTCAACCAAATAAACAGAAATCCCAAAGCAGAAACATAGGAAACACCAATCTTATTTAAGAAACAAATTACCTAATAGGAACCTACTGGGAGATCTATTAGGAGAGGTCAGCATAGTAGGAGAGGGGCTACAGGGCCAGTAAATATGTAAAGTTGATGAATGACTGAGGTAGCACTAGAGAGTAATGAGAAAAAAATATAAATTTAATAAATTCTGCTAGGAACATTGGTTAATTATATAGAAAATATGTAGTAACATTCTTACATCATAGACAGTAATGAATGTACGCATGTATGGATGTAATAAACATTTAGAAATAAAGAGAAACTTCAAAGCTCTTAGAAGAAAATACAGGAGAATATTTGTGACTTGGGGGCATTAAGTCAAAATTTGATAAATGGGATTATATTAAAATTAAGAACTTCCATTCATCAAAGGACACTATAAAGAGGCAGTTCACAAATTGGGAGAAGTCACTGTAACACCTAAAACCAACTAACACATTGAACCAAAAATGTGTAATGAACACCTAAACATCATTAAGAAAAGACAACAAGCAACCCAGTAGAAAAAGAGTCAAATAATGTGAACATATATTTCACTGAAAAGGAAATGTGAATTGCCCGTAAATAAATGAAGTTATGCCTCTTTAACAATGAAGAAACTATAAATTTAGACCATACTATCCCACTAGTGTACACTCATTAGAGCGCCAAGAAAAAGTTTAATAATAGCAAGTGTCACTGAGGGTGTGGATAAACACCCTTACACATTTCTACTGAGGTTATGAAACAGTATAACTATTTTTGAATACATTATATGGTAAATTTAAATAGTTTCATACTTTATAGGCCAGTAACCTGTCTCTATTATATACTCATGGGAAACTTTTCCACATGTGGACCTGAAGACATCTATACAAATTTTCATAGAAATATTAATTGTAGTGTAAAAATTAAGATTGTATCAAAAAGTATGCAAAATAATACAGCAATGAGTTATTATATAAACAAAATAAAATATTATAGGGCAATAAAAATTGAATTATGGTACTTAACATTTAGTGACAAAAGGAATTTATAGATGACATCCTATAGTATAACTTTTATTTATTTATTTTTTCAGATTGGGTCTTGCTCTGTTGCCTAGGCTGGAGTACAGTGGTACCAGCATAGCTGATGGTATCCTAGAATTTCTGGGCTCAAGTCGTCCTCCAGCCTTCGGCTTCTGAGTAGCTGAGACTAAAAGCCCATACCACCATGCCCAATTATTATTTTTTATTTTTTATTTTTGTAGAGACAGGGTCTTGCTTTTTTACCCAGGATGCTTTCCCACTCCTGGCATCAAGTGATCCTCCTACCTTGGCCTCCCGAAGTGTTGGGATTACAAGTATGAGACACTGTAATTAGCCAGTATAACATTTCTGTAAAAACCCAAACTAACACAACTTCACAGTATAGTATTTTGAAGTTTATACAAATGTTATTAAACTATAAAAATAAAAACATATTAATAAAAAATTCAAGAAATATGGGGAGAAAGACATAGTATATAGAAACTCACAGATTCATGTATTATATTAGTAACAATTATTTCTTAAGCTCAGCAGTTAGTTCATGAATACTCATTTTGTTATTATTTTTAAAATATTTCCTTAAAATGAACTTAAATATTTTAAATTAAAAAGGAACACATAAAAGTAATTATATAAATAAAACAACAAAATCTAAAATTCTCATTGTTATATAACATATAAATTCATATGTATTCTCTTATACATTACAATAAAATATATAATAAAATAATATATATTAGATTAGATAAATTATGTCTCAAATTCCATTATATTCTATATATCAGAAATTCTTAATATTACTATAATTAATTTTGTAAATAGTGTTTTAAATTCCATGAAATAAATCCCCATGTCTTTAAAAATTATCCTGAAATTGAAAAAGAAAAAAAGGTTTTTAAGTTTTATTATATATAGCATATCTAATTTCTCAGAGAGGAAGAAATTACAATAGAATATTTCATTTCTGGATAAAAATATATTAGTGAGAAACAGAAGCAATGAAGTCTAAGTATATCTTCTCAGGCTCAATGAAACAGCTGGTGCCCTAGACATTTTCCTGTTTTTCCTCTTGGGAACCGAGATACTGACCATATATGTTTTTCTAGACTAAAAATAAATATTAGCCCGACGCTTCAACTGAATATTAGTCCAGCAAGCCCTGAGGGAAATCTAACTGCAGATCTAAAAGAGTCAGTAAAATGTATCACCTGCTTTTCCGCTTCCTTGTGAAATTGCTTTTAACTAGGGAGTGTATTTGTATGAATATGTAGGGATTCATTCATAAACAGAAAAAATAAAAATAAAATGGATGAAAATGAGAGACATCAAATTCAGAATGATGAGTGAGTGCATGGGTAGGGGTGTACAATAACTTTGGTTGATAATGTTTATTTTATTTATTTATTTATTTATTTGAGGTGGAGTCTTGCTCTGTCACCCAGCCTGCAGTGCGGTGACGCTATCTTGGCTCACTGCAACCTCGTCCTCCCGGATTCAAGTGATTCTCCTGCTTCAGCCTCCAGATTAACTGGGATTACAGGCACCCACCACCATGCCCAGCTAATTTTTATGTATTTTAGGTAGAGACGGCGTTTCACCATGCTGGCCAGGCTGGTCACAAACTCCTAACCTCAGGTGATCCACCCGCCTCGGCCTCCCAAAGTGCTGAGATTACAGGCATGAGCCACTGCGCACAGCCAGTAATGTTTATTTTGTAAGCTGAATAGCATGGTGAAGGATATGCACTATATCCTTTTATACATTTTGCATGTCTAAATTATTTCATAAGAAATGAAAACTTCCAAACTATTTTAATGAGAAACCAAAAGCTTATGAAGTAATGGTTTCTTCCACAAAAATTTATTATGCACCTGCAATGGTCAAAGCTATACAGTACATTTATTTTCGGTGGAAAATAAAGAACTACAAAATTTGAACTTGAATACTCCAAGAGAAATGGAGTCAAGTCCCAAGTAACCTTACATAATGTGTCCTATATTCCTGGGACGCAATGTGAACACAGAGCTGTCGATATTCAATCGGAAGTGGTTCCTCCAGTGAGGAAGCACCTATATAAAGAAGTCATCAATCCATCTGAGATCTGGGGATGAGAACTTATTTTTCATGGAAATAATTGATTGTGAGAAAGATTTCAAAAGAGGCTTAAGATAGCATTTGCTTTACTAGGGAGTGCATCTATAAGAATATTTGTAAGGAGATATGGAGGAGCATGACTGCAGCTCTGCAGGCTGCTAGAAAACACCATGTGATAATGGAAATAGCAGAGCATTTGGCGTGAGATGGCCTGAGATTCCCTCCTGGCCATGTCACTTACCGAGAGTCGTGGCACTTGGCAAATTACTACCTTTCACATTTGGCAGTTGGGAATAATGGGAAATTTCAGCCTCATGGTTTTAAGAGTAACAAGTCAAGTAATACATGCACTTTGATATCATAAGACTCCAGATAAATGTTAGTTTTTACCTTTAAGTAGTAGAAAAGAGGGCTGGGGAATTAGATTGGGTCATTTGGTGAATGGTCATGTGTAGACTGACTTTAGAGATTTTCATGATTGAAAGCGGAAGGAAAAGTCACAGATGAATGAAAAGTACTGAACCTGGTCTTGCATGCTGAGTCATAGCTAATTTGGGGTTGGCTATTACATTTTGTACACATTGTTTGATTTGATTTGCTATATTTTTAGGAATTTTTATCTCTACATCCAAGAGTTACATGGGCTGATAATTTCCTTTTCTCAAACTACATTCTCTGGCTTGGATTTAAGGTTATGACAAAATGACAAAAGTGATAGAAATAATTTCCTCTTTTCTGTTTCCAGAAGGGAATGATCTAAACCTATAACTGTCAGTTGAAAACACTTATAAAACCATTGGGGCATGGTATTTATTTTGAACAACCATACTATTATTTCAATTACTTTAATATTTATAAAATTATTTAGATTTTCTATTTCTTATTGTGCCAACTTTGGAGGGACATGTTTTCTGAGAATTCATCTATTTTGCCTGTGGTTTGATATTTATTAGTTAAAAATTGTTCATAATATTCTCATATTTTAGTTTATATGTCCACTTTATCCATAGTTCTCTCCCATGTTTCATTTATAATATTATATATTTGTAACTTTTTTCTTTTTTCCTCAATAAGTTTTATCAGAGGTTTGGTTACTACTAATCTATTAAAAGAAATAACTTTTTGGTTTTATTGATCTGCCTAGTCCTTCTTCACCTTGCAGTTTCTTAGAATATATTTTGTGTTCCTTTTCTAACTACTTTAGTACTTATGCTCTAGATGATCTTCCTCACGACCCCATGCTCATCTCTCTGACCTCCCCTGCA
The DNA here is from genome assembly GCF_000001405.40 of Homo sapiens. Lineage (NCBI taxonomy): Eukaryota > Metazoa > Chordata > Mammalia > Primates > Hominidae > Homo > Homo sapiens. The sequence goes on from NC_000002.12 coordinate 228,721,877, forward strand.
ACTGCTTTTAGTCCTGCTGACTCTGCTTAGACCTGCAATTCTCCTTGCTGTTCCTAAAACGTACCAGGCATGCTGGTGCTGAGGGTCTTTGCTCTGTTAACTCTGCCTGCATTGCTTTACCCCGATCACCTCTAATATAACTTCCTCATTTTAAAGTCTTTCTCATCCTGTCTTCTCAATGAGTCCTTTCTCTTCTATTAAATACTACCACCTCCTACCATAGCACTTGTTAACTTGTAATACGCAGTTAAATACACTCTAAAATACAACTGTTAGCCCTGCATAGCTCTCTTTGCCTCCTCAAGCCTCAGTTCTAAGAAAGTAAAGGGTTGGACTAGATATAGATGTATAGTTTTCCCTTCCTTTCCAAATAGAAAATTCTGTGATTCTATAATTTGAATTTTGCCTATTAAGCCCCAAAGATTTAACAGTGTATGGTTTTCAGTTGAGACAAAGCAGAATGCATGAGTGTGATAAGAATTATTAGAGAAGGACAAAAAAACAGGCATTTATAAGAATTAGTGAAGATGGGACATACCTAGGAGGAAAGCCCAGCATTATGTTATAGTAAACAGGAGTGATATAATATGAACGAGTTGATTCTTGTCTTTTCTGGGAGTCATAGCTGTCTGGTGGCTATTTTGAATAACTAGAACACTAATGCCAACTTGTTGGCACTTTACATTAGGTAAATGCTTGTAACTGCTCACTGTCTTAGCAATGAGAAATAACCTGGAAGTACAAAAAGATGTTCCTTTAAAATACAACTCCCAGGCTGGGTGCAGTGGCTCATGTCTGTAATCCCACCACTTTGGGAGGCTGAGGCAGGAGATCACTTGAGCCCAGAAGTTCCAGACCAGCCTGGGCAACATAGTGATACCCTATCTCTATAAATTTTTTTTTTTTAATTTTCCAGGTATGATGGCATATTCCTGTGGTACCAGCTACTTAGGAGACTGAGGTGAGAGATACAGCTTGAGCCAGGGAGGTTGAGCCTGCAGTGAGCCGTGAATATGCCACTTCACTCCAGCCTGGGCAACAGAGCCAGATCCCATCTCCAAGGGAAAAAAAAAACCACTCCTAGATGATTACTCTAGAATAGAATCTATGTCCTCAAGGAGCCATGAAAGGGAACTCAAAGGATTTCAGGATTGGCAGGTGTGCAGGTTTTGGCTTAATAAAACAAATCTCAGGGCTTGACCCTGTACACATTACTTAAATTCTCTGACTTTTGTTTTCTTCACTCAAATGCGTGTTTTATAATATTCTCGCCTCTTGAAATATTGCACGTAATTTTCAGCCTTGTTTCAGGTACCAAGGATCCAGCAGACAATATATACCATGCCACTCCTTCTGGAGTTCAAGTTTTACTCAGGGAAAAAGCTAAGGAGCTTAATTTGCAAGCAAGTCATAGCTTCATACATTAGGATGCTCCGACTCACACTTAGATGCACAATGTATTTAAATCAATTGCTTTTTAGTGAATTGTTTATGTGATGTCTGCAATTTGACAAGGAAGGGAGTGAGGGAAAATTATCGCCAGTTAATATATTCTGGTAGAAACACTTATAATTCCCAGACTACTTAAAATGCTCAGCAGCATTCAACTAGATATAATGAAAGCAATAAATGAAGCAAATTTGGCCTTGAAGTTATTGAGTGACTCCTGATTTTACAATAAATGATAGCAGAATGCTCTGGATGACTCTCAACCAGAAAAGCAATCTAAAAAGGCGTATATGTATCAAGAGTGTCACAATCTTTTTGGGGGTCTATTTGTCACTTTGTCACCTAGCACAGCTGTGAAAGGTGGGTAATGAATTTCACTTTTTCCTTACCATTCCAGACATCTGGAAGATGTAGTTTCAGTAGAAAGTGGCTTCAGCTGGAGTAGGGTTGTGTTTAACATTTTTGCTGAGAAGGCATTTTGAAAGGTCCTCTGGTCAAATTAGGCTAAGTGCTAACATTGAAAGCAAGTTTTAAGTAATTGCTTATCTTTCAGAGCTAAGTGTCTCCCATATTATATTTGTGGCAATAGGACAAATGGTCACAGATCTAGTCATTATAAATCTGTCCAAAACATATTAAAAGGTGACAGGTTCATGATAGGGGCTGGGAAGGGGACAGTTATAAGGCTCTGAAATTAGAATAAACCATTCCATTAATAACTTTATCTATACTTGCATAGGGTATCATGCTTCGTAATCTAAAGCATATGCACCACATTTATCATGTTGGAATATATAGCTATTTGAATAGAATCTAACCCCCCACTTTTCTATCATTTTACCCATCATTTAGTCATTCAACAAACAGTTATTACAAACTTGTCATATGTCTGGTCCTTGGGAAAACAAACCAGACAAACTCTGCTTTCCAGTATTGTAGTATTTAGAGGAGGACAGACCTGAGAATAAATAAGTTCATTCCTTTGGAGGAAATGTCTAACAGTCCCTAAGGCAGTTAAGGGAAACCTTTACAGATAAGAAAATGATTACATTGAATCTTTATAAAAATTTTTTTGCCACCCGTTATGCAGGAAAAATGTTGGATCTTGAAAGTGGAGTAAGAATAAATGTGGCAGAAGAAAATGGAGAAGAATGTTTATGTCAGAGAGATGGAACATAGGCAGAAGCTCAAGGAGATGGAGGACATTGTAAATCTTAGAATATGGGAGGATGTGCATAGGCAATATGCAAATACTATGCCACTTTTCATCAGGGATTTGAGCATCCTTGAATTCTGACATCCTTGGAAGTTTCTGGAACCAATTCCCATGCATACCGAGGGATAACCTTATATGTGGATATATACATATATAGATGTATATATTTAGGTCTTTAAGTGTGTGTGTATATAGTTATATATGTATGTAAAAAGTAGAGCCAATGAATGAGAATGGTAACCACCAAATTAAGGATGGAGTTTTATCAGGATAGAGGATGAGAAATAAGATAAGGGAAACGTACATTAGGGGAATTCCATTCTACTTTTAAGGTAAGCATTCAATACACAAACTTAATATTATTATTTTGTACCATCTGTAGATATAAATAATTCCATAATAACATAAATAGTAACAGAAAATGGGGAGCCACTGCAATTGAAGCAGGGTGGCAGGAAATGGAGCACTGCCTTGGGGTCCTCATTTAACCCAACCCACCCACTGTAGCCCTGAGATGTAGATTTTACAAACACTTAACTAGAGCATATTTACATTTTTATTCTACTTTAGCATCCTGTGTCCTCACTGTCTTAATTTTTTTTTAAAGGCATAAGCTGCAGGAATCTTGGTTATCTTTCCACTGCACTCTCATTGTTCCTCAGCCCTCAGATGGCATATTGTGTGAGCAGACACCCCCATAGAAGCAGAGGCGGCCTTCTAGGTAATAGAATACAGTGACTGTGGAAAAGACTCCCTTTTCCCTAAATGAGGACTTTAGTTCTACCTCTGAATCTGTCAGTTGCTAAGCATGTAGATTTCTTATATATAAAATGAGGAGATTAGATCACATTTCTTCAAATTCAATATTCCTTTTATGCTTCTTTCTGAAAAAAAAATGTATGAATTTGCAGCAGGGTATTCTGAGATCACAATAGAGAAGACAAGACAGAAAGTTTGAGAGCCTTGGTTGGGAAGAATGACCTGGCTACAGAGCATCACCCAAGCAGGGATGGTCAATAATCACATCCATTTTCAATCTGGTCGGATATACTCAAGTCTAGTCCAAGATTCTGTTGGTATCTGAAGGAAAACTGGAGGAGTTTCTAGGCTGTTGAAACTCTTGCAGTCAGTAAAGTAGAGGATTTTGCTTCTGGAATGTTGAGTTGTCCTTATTGAAGCAATCTAATTCATATTTTCAAGTAAATGGAGTTGATATAGGATAAGCAGTTTGGTAGAGCCCCAGGCTCCCATAGGGGCATAAATTCAGAACAAAGTTTTATAGGAACCAGGAGAAAAGCGTGGAAGCTTAATCACATGAAGTAAGCTCCTGTGTATTCCATGAAGGGTGGAATAAAACAACTTGTTTAATGTATACGTCCCAGCACTCACCAAGGTACTCTAGTCTTGCTTTACTCACTGGGAAATACGGGGTTTTAATATACAGGCAGGGTGGGTTCCCGTGAGACTGGGGACAAAGTATATCTAGGTGTAGACTCTAGGCCTGTAGTTCTAAAATTTTACTTCACCTACAAATCATCCAGAAGGCTTTTTAAACATACATTTTCAGAAATTAAATTTTGGTTTGCTTTGGGGTAAGAGAATGGAGCTCAAGCCTAAAGCTGGGAATTGAGAGCCAACATTCTTAGAGAAGAGAATCACAGAGAAAGTTGCTGTAAAATCTATGTACATACTCCACTCAAATTGTTGGCTGCTTTCTAAGCTATGGATATATAAGGTGAGAGTCAAAAATATATAGAAGGAAATAGCAGATAGTAGGCTACAATGGAGATCAGAGCGTTTACTAGTCACCTATGCTGGGGAGGCTGAGTCTGGAGTACTGAGAGTTTTCAAGTTAGAGAAGCCCTTATAAACTCTATGAACTTTTCTTTCACACCCCAGAACTCTTGCCACAGAAGTTCTACACCTAAGGATTAAGAACAAGCGTTTAGGAATAAGGGGTATGGCCTGGGAGGAAGAACAACTTTGAAACAAACCAGCCCTAATTACTGTCCAGCTAAAATCCATGCGACAACACAATGATCTATTGTACTGTGTGTGCTCACCTCTTTAAAGGAAGACTTTTTTTATATAATACTCTTTGTTATATTAAAAGAAATAGGAATCTTGATTAAAAAGGCACTTGATCGGAACCAAGAGAAACAATAGACACTAGAAACAAACCTACAATTGATTGAATTGTTAGAGTTGCCAGGCAGAAACTCTCAAAAGAAAAACACAAGCTATAATTAATATATTCAAGATTATAGAGAAAAAAAGATTGAGAATTTTCAGCACTGTGGCAGCCAAGGAAATGGAATGCTTAGATCACCTTTCAAGAAACAACTTGCTCTGAGAGGTGTAGTTAGCAGACAACCACGAAAGAAAATATGGATAGATTAGACTCTAGCAATTTTAAGAACTTAATTAGAAACATCATTAAGATATTAAAAGTTAAGCCACTTTCTAGTAGATGATATTTGTCATACATATATCTGACAAAGTGCTCATATCCACTACATATAAATGACTATTACAAATGCATGAGAAAAAGACAACTCAATTAAAAAACATGAGCAAAACACTTGAATGGGCACTTCACAAAAGAGGATATCTAACTGGCCAAAAAGTATAGGTGCTCAACATTATTTGTTATTAGAGATATGCAAATTAAAATCACAATGAGATAACTCTTCATACCTAGTTTTGGCAAGGATGTGGAACATCCAGAAGTCATATATAGGTGGGGGTATAAATTGAAAAAACTAGCAGAGTCTATTAAAGCCAAACATATGCCTAATCCATGACCCTGTGATTCCACTCCTAAGTATATATGCAAGAAAAATAAATGCAGATGTCTGTCAAAAGACATGAAATTTACTTATAATAGGAATCCATAGTGGCTGAAGGAAAAGTTAAAATATAAGGGATTTCTGGAACTAAAAGGGTAAATTAAATCAGAAGGAAAGCACATGCAATCATCGGTCCAAAGGATTCTGGAGTGATCACTCTATACATGGGATGATAGTTGAGGCTTTCAATTGTGGACTGGAATGTGAAATATGTTAGGATGGGTCAGAAAGTTTTAAATGGTCATGTGTATTCTAGGCAGATTAAAAAAAAAAAAGGAGCACTGGCTGGGTGTGATGTCTTACGCCTGTAATCCCAGCACTTTGGGAGGCCGAGGCAAGTGGATCACTTGAGGTCAGGAGTTCCAGACAAGCCTGGCCAACACGGTGAAACCCTGTCTCTACTAAAAATACAAAAAATAGCCAGGCATGTTGGTGCGCGCCTGTAATCCCACCTACTCAGGAGGCTGAGGCAGGAGAATCGCTTGAACCTGGGAGGCAGAGGTTGTGGTGAGCCAAGATTGTGCCACTGCACTCCAGCCTGGGTGACAGAGTGAGATGCTATCTCAAAATATATATATATATATATTGGGCAGGGGCTTCAACCAGAAATGATTCTGGAAGAGCTGGCCTTGACAATCTAATATCATGGTTTGCTCTGGGCATCTAAAGGACTAAGCACACAAAATATTAAGCACACAAAATATAGAGTCAGGTAACGATCACACAAAGAAAACATGGGAAAACACTAACAGCCAACTTTGCTTAACATTAGATTTTTACTATCTAATGCCATCTTTCACATGGCTGCTTTCTCATTCTATTGGGTGTATGCTTTATGTAAAAATTGTTAATAACTGCCATTCTGATATCACTTTGCTGTTCCCAAAAACAGTTGTCACATTAAAGCAGAAAATACTAGTTCAGAATATATGAGATTTTCCAGAAGTTACACAAAGTCTCATGATTCTATCATCAGGGTTTCTGAACCTCAGCACGTTTAACTCAGACTCTCCGTGTTCTATCCTGTAAAGACAGGAGAAAAATCGCTGGCATTGTAAGATGGATATGGGCTTCCAATGAACTCGTTTAGCTCAATAAAGTCTGAAAACATATAAAGGATTTTTATGAAAGACCTAGCGGAATCCAGCTACTAAAGAGCATGTCTACATACGCACAAGCAAATGAGATGATATTAGAAACCATTTCAATTTTCTCATGACTGTGGGACAACTGTCCCTTATTCTTCAGCACAGTTAGGCTGACCTGCAGGGCTACCAGTGTAGAGAGGTATTAGATTGTCTCTGATGTAAATAGGAAAAGTTAACAAGGTATTGCTGTAGTTACACAGTGCTATCCCAAGCCATCCTGACTTTTCCCTTCCATGCCGACAGCACCAGCACCACCTGGAGTCATCTTGGACTGTGGTGTCGTCTTCGGATGCTGTGCTAGTTTGGATTTCTGGACTGCCTAACTCTTTACTTCTCTAAGAACAGCATCCTCCACGGGACAAATATCCTCACAGCCAACTGGACTTTGGATGGATACATGATCCAAAGTAGGCCAATTAAATGGGTTTTTGGGATTAGAACTGAGAGTCAGTCTGGTCAGGCTGATATGGATTCTTCAAAACGAGTAGACGAGCCTCAGAAGCTATTAGGTAAGACTAACAAATGATGCCTGCTCTACGGGATGGAGGGAGCAGCAGAAGCCTGTCTGTGGGGTCAGGGAGGCAGAAACAATAGACGGAGGTGTCACCATGACAGTTTTATAGTTAGTCCCCAGTCCTAGCTCCTAGGCAGCCAGTCTGCATTCCTGAGTTCTGAGAGAAAACCCTGTTTCCTTTCAACAAATTCCCATTTCATAGTCAGCTAGCTAGCTGGTTTCTGTTACTTGCACATAAAGAATCTTGACTATGATTCCCAAGATATATTTTCCTAAATGTTAAAATACGAGATAGGTAATGGTAATAGTAAAACACTGCTTTTTCTGTGAATCTTCACATAGTTTCACATTCTTTTATAAGAAAAACTGATTTAAGTTTCAATGACTCGTATGTATTTTTGCAGAACTTGCCTTTGAAATATGAAGACTACCTGTTCTGTTTTTACTGTTATTTCTGCTTCCCTTTTAAACAAGCACAAATACTTTTTATTTTACTTTATAAACGGCATCAGAGGCAAAGCTAATGCTTCCATCCCTACTCTGGAAGCCCACGTTGGGCTGACTCAACTGATATTTTTCTAAAACTCATTAAAATGTTGGTTAAAATGTTTTTAAAAGGGAAACAAAAAAGCAAAGAAAAATTTATTATAATTCTTGAAGGATTGTTCCACTCTTTTCCTCTAGTTTCATGAAAATAACATTTTCAAAATAAAAAGTGTTCAGCCTGGAGTTTTGTTTTTGTTTTTTGTAATTGCTAATTTCTTTACAGATTGAACAAGAATTTATCATTTTATTTTTTTAATTTTTTATTGTGAATTAATAAATTATAGTTGTATGTATGGGGGTAAATGTACTACAAGGTAAAATAATTAAATCAAAGTAATTAATAAATCCATCAACTCAAACACTTATTATTTTAGTGACACCATTTGAAGTTCATTCTGTTAGCAATTTTCAAATGTGCAATACAATATTATTTACTATAACAACCATGTTGGCTAATATATCTAAAAGAACAAAAAATATATTAAAGATTTTGTACCTTTTGACCACAATCTCCCCACTTCTTCAAACCCCAGCCTTTGTAACCACCACTCTACTCCCTGCTTCTTTGAGTTTGATTATTTTGTAATATTCTTCTGTAAGTAAGAACATGCAGTATTTGTATTTCTGTGCCTGGCTTATTTCACTTAGCATAATGTTCCCTTATTCCTTCCATCCGTATTGTCACAAATGAAAAAATTTCTTTCCTCTTCAGGCTAATAGTACTCTATTTTGCATATATACCACATTTTCTTTATCCATTTATTTGTTGACGGATGCTTGGGTTAACTCCATAACTTGGCTATTGTCAGTATGAAACCACCTTATACATATTGTGACAATGAGAAAATTATGATATTGAATAAGATCTGACCTAACTGATCCCATCTTGCCTTTAACCTCCAAACTGCCCTTGTTCATTACTAGGTGTAGGTCAAACTAACTATAGGAGGAATTTAGTTTATAGTTTAACTATGAAACAAGGATAATAACCACCCTTTCCTGAAACAAACCCCCTTCTTGCCTGGTGACTAGATCACCTTTGTAAAACTAACAAATTAGCCACAAGATTAAAATTATGGTTTAGGCATCATGCAGCCAGAGACCACAAGATTCCTTACCTCCCATTGCTATTATAAAACCTAAGATTGGTGTTCAAGATATTTTTCAGAACCTGCATTCTGAAGGACCAGCTAGCACCATGTAGACCACTAATCTGACTCAACAGTTATGTGCTTCCACCCAGGTACAGAAGACAGCAAAAATAATCCTCTTCGACTCCCTGTGATTTCATTTCCAACCCAACCAATCAGTACTTCATACTCCCTAGCCCACTACCCACCAAATTATTCTTAAAAATCTCCACTCTCCGAATTTTCAGGAAGATTGATTCAAGTAATAAAACTCCAGCCTCCTGTTTAGCCAACTCTGTGTGCATTAAGCTCTTTTTCTATTGCAATTCCCCTGTCTTGATAAATTGACTGTATCTGGGCAGCAGTCACGAAGAACCCATTGGGCGGTTACAAGTAGTGCTTGCAATGTCCATGAGAGAGCAGACATCTCTTCTACGTACTGATTTCAAGTCTTTTGTTTAAATATCCAGAGGTGAGATTGCTGGATTGCAGGATAATTTCATTTTTAGTTTTTAAGGAACCTCATACAGTTTTCCATAATGGCGGAACTACTTTACATTTCCATCAACAATGTGCAGAAATTTCCTTTTACCACATTCTCATCAACAAGTATCTTTCATCTTTTTAAGATAGGGTACACATTTTTGTATTCTTTTAATTATTGTACAGTGGAATATTTCCTAAGGTATCTCTATTACTCTGTATCCTTTAAAAAGTATGAATACCAAAATTAGACACAATATTTAAATGCACCATGAACCCTGACAAGCCTTCAGGGCAGTAGGAATCAACAAATCAACATGATTGAAACATCACAATTTATAATTTTTTCCCACAATAAAGGAAACAATTGACAGAGTGGAATGACCAAGAATTTCTAGAAGGATGGTGCTACTTGGTGAGTAATTTCCTTTAGTTAATTTAGCCAAAGAACTGCATTCTTTGCATACTTTCCAGAGTTCTCTGCTAACCATTTGCAAAAGTTCTTGTTTTGAACTCCATGAAGTCTCTCATGCCAGCAACTTTCCTACCTAGTAGCCAGGTTGGTTGAGTCATGTAACTTCTGGCATGAGCTGTCAGGGTTCCACACTGCCTTAAGCTGAGCACAGAGATGTGAGCTCATTTAAAATGTTTATTACATTTTATGATTTTAATTCATTTCCTGCTTCTGTGAGGTTACCAGGCTATTTGTTGAAATATGGAAGTACACAGGGGCCTTCCAATGATGAAGTAATTTAACATTTTTTGTTTAAAAAATAAAAACCTCAAAAAGTTTCCCAGTTACACACTAGTCAAAAAAAGAACATTCACATTGGGTGCAAATAACTCTCAGCTCCTGCTGACAGTACTTAAGCAAAATGCAGAATTTCTAAAAAAAAAAAAAAAAAAAAAAGCTTTCAAAGGACTTGGGTTAGGGGAACAGTAAAAGACTCCTTGAATAAAATTCCTTTTATGAAAACTAAAAGTCAAGTCAAAACAAACACAAAAAGCCGTTGATTTCACTCAGTGTTTTTTATATGTCTTTAACACCTGCTACTGGAGCCCTGGAATTATAGACTAAGCAGCCATGCCAGTTAAAGATCATTCCAGATCAGCTCTCTAGCCCCCTCTTTTTATTATAAAATGTGTAATTTTTTTAGAGTTGTATAAGGAAGCAAATAAAATAATACTTCATAATTTCACTATATAAGAATAAGAACCTATCTTAAAAGTAACAATGAAATTAGTAAAATATGTACATGGTTAGAAAATGCAAACATTTCACAGTAAAGTACAAAGCAGAAAAACTTCCAAACCATTTCCCTCCTTGTTTTCCAACAGTAACACTGTAAGCAATTTTGATGAATATACAGCATGGGAATTACAGTTATCAATACTGAATTGTACACTTGAAAAAAGCAACACTATACAAATACAGTTAATTCATGTATGAATGTGCTTATAGGGACAAAAATATATCTTTTTTTTTTAAAAAAAGCAAAGAGCACCTTTTAAAATTTAATAATGTATCTGGGAAATCTTTCCATTCATAAACCATTTTAATTATTTTACCTTGAAAACATGTATATTAGATCTAGTCACCAATAATTTGTTTTCTCGTTCTTTTTCTTTCTCCTAGAAATCTCCTGCCAATTCCCACATTTATTTTTCAAGATAAGATTTTGGTATTATTTTGTCAAATCTGTATTTCTCTCACACTCAAAATAGGTATATGTGTCTGCATGTAATATTTCTATACTGTGTGATATATAGATATGTGTATATATATCACAAAAATATGTGAATTTGAATTGCATTTAATTTACATTTAAAATAATATTGGTGCTTCTAATGTCATTGGTGAGTGCTATTTTATTTTTTCTGGTCTAAGTTTGGGACATATTGTTATTTTTTTTTTTATTTCACTGCAAAACCTTTTAGGACAATGCTGAATAGAACTACTCATGAACATCTTCAACTTGATTGCAAAGTTAAGGAGAAATAGTTTAGCATTTCCACAATGAATGTGATATTCGCTAAAGGTTTTGGGTATATATGCTTTATTAGATTGAAGAAGCTCCCTTCTATTTCTAGTTTGCTCATTTTTAATATGAATCTCTATTGAGATAGCAATATGGTGTTTTTCTTCATTCTGTTAATGTAAGGTTCCACATTTATTGATTTTTGAATGTTAAACTAATCTTTCAAAGTTTCCTCATATAAATCAAATTGAGCATGATGTATTATCCATTATATATAGTATTGAATCTGATTTATTATAATGTTGTGTAGGATTTTTGCCTGTGTACATAAGAAATAGTAGCTTGCAATTTTTCTTTTAATGTCCTTTTCGGATTTTACTATCAAGGTCACGCAAACCTCAAAAATGAATGGGGCCATCTTATATCTTATCTCATTTTCTGGAAGAGTTTTTATAACATTTGTGTGATTTTTTCTTTAAATATTTGGAAAAAAATAGCCAGTGAAGCCACTTGTTTCAGGAATTTGTCAAAAAATTGTGAATTTCACATTCATTTTCTTTAATAGCATGGGAACATTGATTTGTTATTTCTTCTTTTTTCAGTTTTGAGCTGTGTTTTTCAAGTGATTTGTCCATTTCTTCTACATCACAAAATTTATTGTCATAAAGTTGCAGATAATTATGGTAGATTGCATTGTGTTTCCAGTTCTTTCAATACATATGCTTGTCTTGGCCACCTAACTGAGCACAGCCTAATTAGTTGAGATCCAGCAGACCCACAGACATATGAAAGAAAATAAAGAAATATTAGTTTAAGCCACTGAGTTTTGAGATGGTTTTATAATAGTTAATCAATGAACCAAAAAAATTTTAATTAGTTTGCAATATACGTAATATGGCTAATTTGTGACTTCTCCTCTTTTCTTGATAAGTCTTGCTAGAGATTTAACAAATTTATTAATCTTTAAAAAATATTTCTTTTTGCTATTGTGTGCTTGCGTTGTCTTTAATTTTTGCTTATATTTATTATCACTTTCCATTTACTTTCTATGTATTTGATTTGCCACTTTTCCTAATTCAAATATCAATTCTATTCCTTCTCTCATAGAATCCTTATTACACATCTATTAGACATTTTCATTTTGTCCCAGATGTGTCTATATGCTTTTTTCTTAACATTTCAACTTTTTATATATACTAGGCATACATGTTCTGGTTTGTTACATGGGTATATTACACTGAGGTAGTGAGCATAGTACCCAACAGAGTTTTTCAACCCATTTCCCCTCCATTCCCCCTACTTCTAGTAGTCCACAGTGTCTATTGTTTCCATGTTTATGTCCATGTGTGCTCAATATTAAGCTCCCACTTATAGGTGAGAACATGTATAGTATTTGGTTTTCTGTTCCTGTGTTAGTTTGCTTAGAATTATAGCCTCCAGCTCCATCCATGTTGCTTCAGAGGACACTTTTTTCATTATTTTATATGGCTATGTAATATTCCATGGTGTATATGTTTCATGTTTCCTTGATCTAATCCACCATGCATGCTTTCTGCAGCCATGTCCTCAAGTTCACTAGTCCTTTCCCTACTCTTTATGATTCTGCATTATCTAACACATTCATCTAACCATCTAACACATTCTTAGTTTTAGTCTTGTTTTTATCAGTTCTCAAGTTTCCATTTGAAATTTTTGATGGATTCTGAGTCTCTCTTGCAGTTCTTCATCTTTTATTCCATTTTCTTGACAGGTTAATCCAAATTATTTTAAATATACTATCTGAAAACTTCAATATCTAAACCATATATGCATCTGTTTCTATTTACTTCTGTTTTGTCTCCAGTTCGTTGTTCTGTATTTTAGCATATTTCATATTTTTTAGATGCTGGAATTAACAAGTAAAAACTATAGCGATTCCTTCAAAAATGCTTCATTTTCTGTTGAATGGTAAATATAAGGCTAGTAAATCAACTTGAGCTTGTGAAAGTTTAGTTTTAGGTGTGGGTAGGAATAGGCTGTTTCAGTTTTTACTTTTTCTTAGGGTATGGCCCTTCTGAGGGCTCAAGAGAAAACTTGAGTTGTTTACCAAACAGAATATTGGATATATCTGGGGGGCAGAATAATGGCCCCCCAAATATACCCATGCCCTAAGGAGCTATGAATACTTTAGGTTGCACTGCAAGAGACAATTAAGTTTGTAGATGAAATTAAGTCTGTTAATAGGCGGACCTCAAGATGGAAAGATTATCTTAAATTATCTGGGTGAGCTATGTGAAACCACAGGGGTTCCAAGTGGAAGAGAGAAGCAGTAAACAGGGAACCACAGAGATGGAGAGAAGCATGAGAAAGATTCAACTGGATATTGATTGTTTTGAATAATACAGACAGCCTTTAGAAACTGGAAAATGCAGGAAGATAGATTTTTCCCTAGAGCCTCCAGTAGGAAATGCTGCCCTTCTGATAACTTGAGTTTAGTTCAGTGAAACCCATTTTAGACCTCTGACCTCCAGAACTAAAAGATGATTTTTAATCTGTTATATCTCTACATTTGTGGTAATTTTTTACAGTAGCAGTGAGAAACTAAGATCCATTGCTATGGAGTACATTGTGCAGCCCCTCTGCCCAAATTCCTGTTGGAAGTGTCACCCGCAATGTGGTGGTACTTGGAGATGGAGCCTTTGGGAAGTAATGATGTTTACATGAGGCCATGAAGATAAGAACCTCATGATGGGATTAATGCCTTGATAAGAAGAGATGCCAGAGAGCTTACTCTCTCTCTCTCTCTCTCTTTCTCTTTGTCATGTAGGAACACCAAGAGAAGGCGGAAATCTTCAAGTCAGAAAGAGAGCTCGCTGAAACCTGACCATGTTGGCACCCTGATCTTAGACTTCCAGGCTCTGAAACTGTGAGAAAGTAAATTTATGTTGTTCAAGCCACCTACTCTACGGTATTTTGCATGGCAGCCAAAGCTGACTAAGATACCATCATGTTAAATGGACTTAAATTCTCATTCCCTATCATCAGACAGTTAGTAAAATTTCTGCTTAGCTCTGTGGCTTTCCAAGTTTTGCTTTCTATTGCGTTTCTTGGAGTCTTACCCTGTTAATATGCATATCTTAGGAGTCCATCTTTAGCTTCAAATAATTTTTTGTCTGATATAGTTGGTCTTCACTATCCCATCCCTCCAGACCCTCCTATCCATGACTTCGTTCCTTAAAATTTGGATACTCTGACAGTCCAACCTATGTCTTATGTCTCCTCAGTCCAGTCAGACTATTTTCAGCTTGGATTCCATTTCCCCTTGCTGTCGTGAACTAGAAAATACTCTCAGGGAAAAGATGGGAAAATGTGGAACTCATATCTTATGCTCTCCTACTTTTACAGTCTACCATTCATCCAGTTCTTATTTACTATGATTATTCACGAGAGCCTTCAAAAGTTGTTTTTCTCTATTATGTCCACATTTTGTAAAGGTATCATTAGGAATCTTGGTTTAATTCAAGCTACTTAGCCATAACTAAAAATGAACTCTATTCCAATTAAATTTAAAACATTAATCTTGTATTTTAAGTAGGTTATCTGCCTTGTCTGGATCTAGGAAAGATCATGTCAAGACCCTCCTCCCCAACCCAGAGATTGCCACAGAATGTCATATATTCTTCTAAAAGCTATTGCTTGAGAGTCTTTGTCTGCATAACAGAAAATAACCTTTGTTCTCATTGTATTTTCTCCCCTCAGCCTCCCAAGCTTGTTCCCACCTTCCCCCAGGAACCCCCAAAGCCTGTCTCTTTCTCTACAGTGTAACAACTTTAGGCCCTTCTTTGAATCCCGTGTTCTCTATGGCTCTTGTGCTCATATGCACATACTAAATTTGCATGGCTTTCCTTCTGTTAATCTGTCCCTTGTCAATGTGTTTTATAGACCCAAATTATCAAACCTTCAGAAGGAGAGAAAGAAAAATTATCTTTGCTCCTATATATGTTGTTGTCTTTCTGAAATACTATGGATCTTTTAGTGACTTCAGAGAGTGGTAGCTAAAGTGGTCTCATAGCAATAAGGAACTATCCAGTGAATACTATGTAGAGCTTTTCCATACTTTTCTTGTTTCTGTATTTCATTCATTCAACAGATACTTGTTGCATGGTTTCCATTCTGTGCTGCCTTCTCTTCTGGACGATGGGGTTAGGATAGTGAATGAGAAGGTAAGTTCTATGCTACAAAATTTAGCAAGATGGAAATTGTGTGTGTTATAAAGAAAAATAAATTGCAGATAAGGAGAGCCTAACAGAAAGCCAGTTTGCGTTAGCTGTTCACTAACAGGTTTTCCTTATAGGTGTAAATTTATTTTATAAAAGGACAGCTTTTCAGAGCTAATTCTGTGTCTGCAGTTTCTGTGAATAACCATCTCAAAATATACCAAAGAAACGTACTTTGGGGTGATGTATTTTAATTTCCTACCCATATTTAGACCAGAATTAACTGGAAAAATATAATATATCCCTCCCTTTCACTATAAAATGTCAGGATTTATGTCAAACATAAATTAGAGACCCTAATCTCATATAATTGTGCAGTATATTGCATATTCCACTATGAGATAGTACTTTTTAAAAAATTTCTTTACCAAGAAAATAGAAGAAATAAAATAATTAGTAAAAATAGAAATCTTATATTGTCTAGGAAACCAAATTTATTTACAATTAATCACTGTGGATGTGAAAGGAAGGTGGTTTCACATGACTTGAGAACAGGACAGGGTTAAATGTGCTGCCTCTGGCATCAAAGACCTTGCCCGTCTCTACTTCCACAACTTTTAGACTCCTAATTAACGTAGTTCCCATTGAACTAAGCTATTTACAGTTCCCATTGAACCCCTTTTGCTGTTATTTTTGTTATAGAAACCAGAAATTAAACTTAAATTTATCCTAAAAATTATAAAATTATGAATAAATATCTTTCCGGATTTTATTTTGAAGTTTTTTAGAGTATATGTTGTAATTTGATACATTTATAGAATTTGTAAAGATCAAATCAATGTACTTGCTATATCACCTGAAATATTTATCTTTTTAATGCTAGCATCATTTGAATTTTCTCTTTTAGCTATTTTGAAATATAGAATAGATTATTGTAAACAATTGTCATCCTACTGATCTATCAAACCATATATTTATACCCATTAATCAACTTCTCTTTATCCCTCTTATCCCCATCCTTCCCAGGTTCTGGTAACCAGCAATCTAATCTCTACCTTCATGAGATTCACTTTTTTTTTTAACTCCCGTATAAGAGTGAGAACATGTGACATTTGACTCTCTGTACTTGGTTTATTTCAGTTATCAAAATGACCTCCAGTTCTATTCATGTTGCTAAAAATGACAAAATTTCATTACTTTTTATGGCTAAATAATATCCCATTGTATATTATACCACATTTTCTTTATCCGTTAATCTGTTGATGGGCACTTAAGTTGATTCATATTTTGGCTACTGTGAATAGTGCTACAATAAACATGTAAGTGCAAATGTCTTTTCGATATGTTGATGTCCTTTCTTTGGAATATATCCTCAGTAGTGGAATTGCTAGATCATATGGTAGTTCTATTTTTAGTTTTTTTTTCAGAACTTCCATACTGTTCTCCATAGTGGCTTTACTAATTTACATTCCCACCAACTGTGTATGAGGATTCCCCTTTCTCTGCATCCTTGCCAGCATCTGTTATTGACTGTGTTTTTGATAAGAGCCATTGTAACTGATGTGAGATGATATCTTATTGTAGTTTTAATTTACATTTCTCTGATTATTTTTATATACTTGTTGGTTATCTGTATTTCTTCTTTTGAGAAATATCTATTCAGATATTTTGCCAATTTTTAATTGGATTCCTTGAGATTTTTGCTGTTGAGTTGTTTGAGCTCCTTATATATTCTGGTTATTCATCTCTTGTCAGATGGATAGTTCCCAAAAATTTTCTCCCATTCCGTGGATTTCTCTTCACTTTGTTGATTATTTTCTTTACTGTGCAGAAGCTTTCCACTTGATGTAATCCCACTTGTCTGTTGTTTGCTTTGGTTGGCTGTGCCTTTGAAATCTTACACAAAAAAATCTTTGCCCAAAGCAAAGTCCTGGAGCATTTCCCCAATGTTTTCTTCCAGTAGTTTTCATAGGTTTAGGTCATAAACTTAAGTCTATGATTTGATTTTTGTGTATGGCAAGAGAGAGAGGCCTAATTTCATTCTTCGGTATATAGTGATTTAGTTTTCCCGGCACTATTTATTGAAGGCTGTCCCTTCCTCTTTGCATGCTCATGGCATCTTTCTTGAAGATAAGTTGGCCCTAAATGTGTGGACTTATATCTGGGCTCTCTATTCTGTTCCATTGGTTTATGTGTCTGTTTTTATGCCAATACCAGGCTGATCTGGTTACTGTAGCTTTGTAGTAAATGTTGAAGTCAGGTAGTGTGGTGCCTTCAGCTTTGTTAATTTTGCTCAGGATTACTTTGGCTATTCAGTGTCTTCTGTGGTTCCACATAAATTTTAGGATTTTAAAATTCTATTTCTGTGAAAAATGTCATTGGTATTTTTTATAAGGATTGCATTGAATCTGTAAATTATTTTGGGCACTATTGTCATTTTGACAATATTACTTCTTTTAATCCATGAGTATAAAATATCTTTCCATTTGTGTCCTTTTCAATTTTTTATCATCATTATTTTATAGTTTTCTTTATATAAATATTTCACTTCTTTGGTTAAATTGATTCCTAGGTATTTTATATTATTTGTAGCTATTGTAAGTGGGATTGCTTTCTCAATTTCTTTTTTCAGATTATTTACTATTGGTGTATAAAATGCTACTAATTTTTGTGTGTTGATTTTGTATCCTGCAACTTAGCTGAATTCTCTTATTAATTCTAACAGTTTTTTGGTGGAATCTGTAGGTTTTTCTAAGTATAAGATTATGTCATCTGCAAACGAAGCTAGTTTGACTTCTTGCATTCCAACTTGAATGACCTTTATTTCTCTCTCCCTTCCTTCCTTCCTTCCTTCCTCTCTCCTTCTTTTCTCTTTTCTTTTCTTTCCCTTCCTTCCTTCCTTCTTCCCTCCCTCCCTCCTTTCTTTCTTCTCTTTCTTTCTTTTTCTTTCTTTTTCTTTCCCTTCCTTCCTTCCTTTTTTCTTTCTTTCTTTCTTTCTTTCTTTCTTTCTTTCTTTCTTTTTCTTTCCCTTCCTTCCTTCCTTTCTTCTTTCTTTCCTTCCTTCCTTCCTTCTTTCTTTCTTTCCCTTTCTTTCTCTCTTTCTTTCCTTCCTTCCTTCCTTCCTTCCTTCTTTCCTTCTTTCCTTCTTCTTTCTTCCTTCCTTCCTTCCTTTCCCCAAAGGGGTTATTTCTGCAGTGTCCAATGGTTGGATAGGGGTTTGTGCCCAGAGGACCTGTGGGATGAACCTCCTAGAGCATGGTGCTGCTGTACAGCCACTCTGATTAAGCATCTCTTATGGCCAAGTTACAAAGAAGAGTTTCCAGAGGTAAGATAGTAGTCTTGGTTCCCTCTTTTTTCTCTGCCTGTCCTCAGGGATGTTTCTCCCTTTGGGCATTTGTGATGTTTCCCGTGGGTTAAGGCAGAAACAGGGCTCTTACCATGCAATTAAAGGTGGTGGGAAAGCTGGTTGTCCACCTTGATTTCACTTTTTCTGGTGTAGAAACCGTCTACTTGGGGAAAAATTTTCCATGTGCTTGGTATCAGGCAGGATACCAGGGGCGATGTCATGGATGTGGAAGTCCTACTCTCTTACTCTCTGCTCAGTTTTTTCATTTCTCTTTGGCCCTGGGTACTGTCTCCTCTTTGTATTGAGTTCTGGGACATTTCTGGTGACAATCTTGGAGCTGTATATTTGTTTTAGCTTTTCTGTGGCAGGGTGTGGGTAGTGAAGCCAGTTTGTTTCTATGCCACGATTTTGGAGCCAGAAGTCTAAATGTTTATTTTCTTGAAAGCAACCCGTGAGCAGAGATCTCTGCTCTAGATACTCCCTGGTTCCTACTTGGAGTATAGGATTAATTCTGCAGTTTGGTTCTCATGAAAAAATGATGGTCCCATGATTTCATCTTTCTTAGGACTTTTGCTTGATTGTAGTACAGGTTTACTATGTATTTCTCGAAGAAATTTTACTTACCTAAATATTTTGGATAACTCTTGGACTGGAGAGATTACATATTGGAGATGTGAGAAATTCTTTTTTTTTTTATTATACTTAAAGTTTTAGGGTACATGTGCACAACGTGCAGGTTAGTTACATATGTATACATGTGCCATGTTGGTGTGCTGCACCCATTAACTCATCATTTAACATTAGGTATATCTCCTAATGCCATCCCTCCCCCCTCCCCCCAACCCCACCACAGGCCCTGGTGTGCGATGTTTGCCTTCCTGTGTCCATGTGTTCTCATTGTTCAATTCCCACCTATGAGTGAGAACATGCGGTGTTTGGTTTTTTGTCCTTGCGATAGTTTGCTGAGAATGATGGTTTCCAGCTTCATCCATGTCCCTACAAAGGACATGAACTCATCATTTTTATGGCTGCATAGTATTCCATGGTGTATATGTGCCACATTTTCTTAATCCAATCTATCATTGTTGGACATTTGGATTGGTTCCAAGTCTTTGCTATTGTGAATAGTGCCGCAATAAACATACATGTGTATGTGTCTTTATATCAGCCTGATTTATAGTCCTTTGGGTATATACCCAGTAATGGGATGGCTGGGTCAATTGGTATTTCTAGTTCTAGATCCCTGAGGAATCTCCACACTGACTTCCACAATGGTTGAACTAGTTTACAGTCCCACCAACAGTGTAAAAGTGTTCCCATTTCTCCACATCCTCTCCAGCACCTGTTGTTTCCTGACTTTTTAATGACTGCCATTCTAACTGGTGTGAGATGGTATCTCATTGTGGTTTTGATTTGCATTTCTCTGATGGCCAGTGATGGTGAGCATTTTTTCATGTGTCTTTTGGCTGCATAAATGTCTTCTTTGGAGAAGTGTCTGTTCATATTCTTTGCCCACTTTTTGATGGGGTTGTTTGTTTTTTTCTTGTAAATTTGTTTGAGTTCATTGTAGATTCTGGATATTAGCCTTTTGTCAGATGAGTAGATTGCAAAAATTTTCTCCCATTCTGTAGGTTGCCTGTTCACTCTGATGCAAAAATCACAAGCATCCTTATACACGAATAACAGACAAACAGAGAGCCAAATCATGAGTGAACTCCCATTCACAATTGCTTCAAAGAGAATGAAATATCTAGGAATCCAACTTACAAGGGATGTGAAGGACCTCTTCAAGGAGAACTACAAACCACTGCTCAATGAAATAAAAGAGGATACAAGCAAATGGAAGAACATTCCATGCTCATGGATAGGAAGAATCAATATCGTGAAAATGGCCATACTGCCCAAGGTAATTTATAGATTCAAAGCCATCCACATCAAGCTACCAATGACTTTCTTCACAGAATTGGAAAAAACTACTTTAAAGTTCATATGGAACCAAAAAAGAGCCCACATCACCAAGTCAATCCTAAGCCAAAAGAACAAAGCTGGAGGCATCACGCTACCTGACTTCAAATTATACTACAAGGCTACAGTAACCAAAACAGCATGGTACTGGTACCAAAACAGAGATATAGACCAATGGAACAGAACAGAGCCCTCAGAAATAATGCTGTGTATCTATAAATATCTGATCTTTGACAAACCTGACAAAAATAAGCAATGGGGAAAGGATTCCCTATTTAATAAATGGTGCTGGGAAAACTGGCTAGCCATATGGAGAAAGCTGAAACTGGATCCTTTCCTTACACCTTATACAAAAATTAATTCAAGATGGATTAAAGACTTAAATGTTAGACCTAAAACCATAAAAACCCTAGAAGAAAACCTAGGCACTACCATTCAGGACATAGGCATGGGCAAGGACTTCACGTCTAAAATACCAAAAGCAATGGCAACAAAAGCCAAAATTGACAAATGGGATCTAATTAAACTAAAGAGCTTCTGCACAGCAAAAGAAACTACCATCGGAGATGTGAGAAATTCTTACTCTATTGCTTATACAATTTGAGAACCCCACCCCAACAAATTTTTTTATAAAAATATCATTGAAACTTGCAAATATGTTATAGTACATGTCCTGCGAGATTTCGAATGCACACATTCTTAATGAACTTTGAAAGCATTTTGAATTGGTGTAATTCTGGGTACTTCCATAGGACACTCCAGTAAGTTTTCATTCTCATTTCACATTCCTAGTTTTAAGTCATTTTTTTTTTCTTCTAAATATTAAGCTTGTTTTGATTTCAGGGGCCACTTTGAGTAAGATTTGCAAATAACCTTTCCCACTCTGTAAGACCCCAAGCTAACTAAAGTGAAACAAAAATTCTAGAATTCAAAGCTAATCTCTTTCAGAATCTAGGATGCACTTACACCGTTGTAGGTTTTTGAAAAGGAGAATGTTTCTCCATACAACTGAGGAAGGCCATAGGGAGAGGGAAGTGGGAGATTTGTTTCTAATTAAAAGCTTTCAGGCCATTAGTTATGGTAGAGACAGGTGAGAGAGAGTGAGGTATGGTGGTAAAAAACTAGAAAGACCTGAAATATAAAAGTAAAAGCTTGTAGTAGTTTTCTAACTAGAAACTAGAATTTTTTCTAATATGTTAGACATAAAATTCTATAAATGGCAATAAATAAAATGTTACTTTTGTGAACATAAATATGAACCATAAAAGAACACAAAAAAGGAGAAGTGGCATATATATGGCATTTGATATACATAAAACATATTAATGTTTTTTAATGAAAAGTTTTTTTTGTATATTGAAACATGATACTGATATATATGCAAGTATATCCCTTATATGTAGTGAAAAACTTAAAAATAACACCAGTGAAACATAATTTAATTTTAAATATTACAGCAAGTTTTAAATAGCCTTTTTATAATTTGAACATTATTTGTACTCCAGAATATTATATATTTTACCATCAAAAGTAACAAACTGTCATTATATCCACTTTGAAACACCAGAGACGATAGTTAATTCATTATCTATGATATTCAGATAACATCAAGTTATCTTTCTCTGCCAGTGAATCTCTTTCATTTAGTAGAAGAGAGTGTAATTGTCCTTGGCACAGACAGGGAAAATACCCTGTGATGTTTTAAAAACATCAGTATACCACCCTTATTCTCCAAACCATAATTATAAAGGATGACTTTTACTGTGAGAAAGCCATTTTCCCTTAGTAAAACAACTGCATGACTGTATTTACTTTGGAATAAGCTGCTCTAAATCTCAATACATATTCCCGCAGTGTTTATCACAACCAAAAGAAACTCATTTACATTTCATTAAATATTCTTGTATTTCTATATTTTAAAATCTTAATTCTTTCAAGTACTCACTTTTATGTGGTCTGCAGCTTGTATTGTTCTTTCTTCATTTCAAATTCTTACTGAAATAAATTTGATATTTTTATTTATTTTCTCTTCTAGCTGGCCACAAGCAGTAATAAAAGAGTAATAAAAGTATTTCAATGTAAGCTTCATTACATTTCTTTCTATCAATTAGTATGCATTATAATTAGTATCTAATGATTAATTAATTTAATGCATAAACAGTTTTTTTAGACATATACTACATATCAAACATTTTGCTTGGTACTGGGTATACTTTTTTTTTTTTTTTTTTTTGAGACGGAGTCTCGCTCTGTCACCCAGGCTGGAGTGCAGTGGCATGAGCTCGGCTCACTGCAAGCTCCGCCTCCCGGGTTCACACCATTCTCCTGCCTCAGCCTCCCGAGTAGCTGGGACTACAGGCGCCCGCCACCACGCCCGGCTAATTTTTTGTATTTTTAGTAGAGACAGGGTTTCACCGTGTTAGCCAGGATGGTCTTGATCTCCTGACCTCGTGATCCACCCGCCTCAGCCTCCCAAAGCGCTGGGATTACAGGTGTGAGCCACCGCGCCCGGCCCTACTTTTTTAAGGCATGGAGTTTGTAAGCTATTTGGAAACCTATGAAAAATATTTATTTATGTATGATACTTTATAAATTTATTCACATTGCCCTTTGGATGATATAAGATATGCAGTTAAAATTTCAAATAATGTAATGTTTTTGTTTTTACAAAAGCTTTAAAGTGAAAGGGGGAAGATTAAATTATTTTAATTTGATATAAATAGCATTTTAATCTGTTATTTCCTATCAAGTCAAAACTTTTACCTTTTTCATATATTTCTAATTCTATTGTGTGGATATGAAGTGTTTTGTAGTTATTGATGACATGTCAGTAAATTTCATTTTTAAGTGAACACACATCCTCATCCAACACTTCTGAGTAATATTTCAATTTAGAATTAAGATAATAACTTCCTTATTAAATATCAGCAAAGCAGAACAATTTTAAACATCCACTATGTAGAAACCATGTCAAAAATAAGAATATAAAAATTTGTTGGGACATGGTGCCCTACAGTCAGACATAAGTTTGGATTTTACCTTCACCACTTAGAAGCTTCTTAGTCTTGTTACTTTTCATCTTTGTGACTCTGTTAATTCATTTTTAAAATGTTTTATACAATAATATGCACATCAAAAGATTGATGAGAAGATTATATTAATTAATATAAAGTGCAGACCCTATGTGTGGTGAGTAAACGCTAAATATATATTAGCCATTATTATTAATATTAATTAATGTTCTGAGTATTGATAGGTCAAGCATCTGATACATTTAATTGCCATTTTCTCATTTCTTATTTTTATTGTCTTGTTTTATCGGAAATGTAGTTGTTGATGACTCTGTTTCTTTTTAAAAAAAATTTATAGTTTTCTCACCAAGTCAGAATGTTTCAGCTCCTCCAACAATCACAGGGCAACTGATTTTCTAAATTATATGGCTATAACAGCATGAGAAAGTTAAATCTTTCTACTCAGAGAGGCGTACATGTGGAGAGGAAACTCATCTTTGGATATACATTAAAGAAATGTCCATTCAGCATTCTGCAAAGCAGTTCTAAAGCTATCTTCTCCTAAGTATTTACAGACAAGCAGCGTCTTTCTCCCACAGACACCTCGCTTCTATAAAGGTAGAAACTTAACAGTACCGGTACCACCCAGGTTTTCCACCATCTCCCTGGGTTTATGCCTCCCACAGTTGCCAACACACATTTTAGAATCAGAAGCTCCTACCTGCCACTTCCACTATCATAGAACTTAGGTAAGGCCATTTTCCCTCCTTTGGACAGAAATGTGTTCCTAAAATCTGAAAATGCATTTCTCATTTAAAAAAATAACATGTCAGGTTCTGGTTACTAAATGGCACTTTCTACATTATACTCTAAGCACAAAACCAGGTATTGTTATTTTAGACTAACCTATGGAGCCAATTATTTATCACATTATTTCAAAGAAAAAGCGAGTTCTCTCTGCCATAAAATTTTAAAAATTCACTTTTTTTTCTTTTGTTTTTTGAGATGGAGTCTCACTTCTGTCACCCAGGCTGGAGTGCAGTGGCACGATCTCGGCTTACTGCAACCTCCACCTCCCAGGTTTAAGCAATTCTTCTGCCTCAGCCTCCCGAGTAGCTGGGATTATAGACGCCCACCACCATGCCCAGCTAATTTTTTTATTTTTAGTAGAGATGGGGTTTTGCCATGTTGGCCAGGCTGGTTTTGAACTCCTGACCTCAGGTGATCCACCTGCCTCGGCCTTCGAAAGTGCTGGGATTACAAGCGTGAGCCACTGAAAAAATTTACTTTTTAAATGTAAGTGTTTACACTGCAGTCTACTTTTATTCTGCTTCAATTACATATTTTAAATTCAGATATTTCAAAGTATCTACATCTGTGCTATTCTGAAGTCAAAGTTTTTTTTTGGAACTCTCATCTAAAAATTCAATAACACCATGAAGAATCACTATTAATTTTCCTCTAAGATGATAAGTAAAGAGAGAGATGCTAGTGTTTACTGAAGAAAGCTATTTTTCCTTCTCACCTCTACTTATTGAAGATGACAGTACATTTCTCCATGCATAAAAGTGTTATATTTTGCAAACCTTCTGAGGTTTGCAAAATATTAAAAAACTATCTTCCTAAGTCCTAACCCTTTACTGCTACTGCTTCTTTCATGTAAAATTCTCACTTATCTTCCAAATCTCATGTCACAGTTGGCTTCACGGTTGTGCAAGCCGTGCAGTTGCACAGAAGGACTCTGTGCTTTGTTTAATACACTGTTGTTATGATCTTGAAATTCTTAATAATTTTCTCTTTGAACCTGTGTTTTATAAGCTAAGTCTGGTGGGTAATAGAGCACACAGGTGGTCAGAAGAGACACACTCAATGTGCATGCCCGTGAAACCTTGATACCCCGTTGACATATAGCATTTGTGACACCCCCTGAGCACAGAGTTCCTTCCAGTGAACTCAAGTGTGTGGGAGTTCAGTGTGACTCAGAGTACAAAGCAAGTGGCTCCGTCTAGGACTGAGGACACAGAAGCACTGATCGTTCTAAAGCCACACTTTCTGTTCAAGTCCAAACATAAACTTCTTTTGTTTCCATAAAGAAGGCGGTAGCATTCTAAGATACACAGAGGAGCAAGGAATCCCATCATATCCATGTTATTTCCTAACTGCGTATATTGAAAATAATGAAATAGAAGAAAAGTGAAAGGTAAGGCACCCCGCAGTTTTTTTTTTTTTCTGTCATTTGTTCATCGTAAACCAAAGGTAGAGACTATTGGTAGGATGTAAGCATACCAAGAAATAATATAAAAATAGTTGAGTTAGTTCTGAGCAGCATTTCCACCGTTCTGGTAAGAATAAAATATGCATGCATGTACAAGCTGAAAATGCAGATTATGTAACTTTGATGATTCCACATATGAGTTAAATATGCATTTAAAAATGGCTTTGCACATTATAAACTTAAAAATTCATACTTTAATTTAATTTTTGTTTTACTTTGAATGATATTAAATAGCAAATGAAAACATCAGGACAAGTCAAGAGAGAAACCATGGAAGAAAGGAAAAAGCTTTCTATGGTAGTGCATTCATGACTCCTTTGACATTAGGTGTTGGAACAAAGGGCTCCCATATTTTTACTTTGCTCTATACCCTACAAGTTATGTAGCCAGCCTCATATGTCAATGTGTGTGCCAAACACAATTAGAGTCAGTAACTCACTTTCATTTCTTTCCAGAAAATTAATAATGTAAGAGTTGTGAATATAGCTTTGATTCCATGTTAACTAAGTAATAAAAAGTCAAGAGAGTAATTCATTTAAAAGACTGAAAGTTGGTAGTTTTCATTTTATTTACTTGGTCTTTTTTAACCACTGGGGTGTATTCGTTTGATATCCTTCCCTGTGCCACACCCTGTAGTGTGTTTCAAAGCGCATTACAATAGGCATCAAGGTATGCTCCATCTTATCATCTTTCTTCTTGTTCTCCAGCAAGAAGCACTGTGGGATCCTGGGAGTGAGCTGAAACACAGAGGGCTGCCTTCTTCCTTGAGCTTATTTACACCTGCTCTCTAGAAAATGCCCTTAACAGGCAGAAATCTTATTTAACACCAGAGTGGAAAGTACACAGTTCACGCCTAGCATCAACTATTATGCACCAATGATGCATTTGTGTGAACGTGCAATTTATTTGCCCCAGATGCTGATCTCATCCAATCCCATCTTTATAACCATCCTCTGTGAATTCTTCTGGCCTGAGGGAACCCCAAACCATTGCTCCCTGAAATCTTGAATCTGCAGATTCTTGCTTCCAGCCCAGAACTCTGTCCCAACCTCTGCCCATTCCTCATCTGAATCCTTCTAAATACCAAACCTGGCCATTGACTCAGGTGCTGAATCTCGCTTGAAACCTCTCCAGTTTTGTCCTGATGCCAAGCTGAGGTCAGTTTTGTCCCTTGGACTCTAATAAATAATCCAATTCTACAGGTCAGTCTACAGCCCAGTGGTGAATTTAGGTATTGCCTGTCTCTAAGGTGAACCACAGACAGAAATAAGGTACTAAACCAGGTGAGAGTGAAAAATAGATTAGTGCGGCCGGGCGCGGTGGCTCACGCCTGTAATCCCAGCATTTTGGGAAGCGGAGGCGGGTGGATCACGAGGTCAGG
The DNA here is from genome assembly GCF_000001405.40 of Homo sapiens. Classification (NCBI taxonomy): domain Eukaryota; kingdom Metazoa; phylum Chordata; class Mammalia; order Primates; family Hominidae; genus Homo; species Homo sapiens. Next base: position 228,749,365 of record NC_000002.12, read on the forward strand.
AGATCGAGACCATCCCGGCTAACACGGTGAAACCCCGTCTCTACTAAAAATACAAAAAATTAGCCGGGAGTGATGGCGGGCACCTGTAGTCCCAGCTACTTGGGAGACTGAGGCAGGAGAATGGTGTGAGCCCGGGGGTGGGAGCTTGCAGTGAGCCGAGATCGTGCCACTGCAGTCCGGCTTGGGCGACACAGCAAGACTCCGTCTCAAAAAAAAAAATAAATAAATAAGAGTAGTGCAAATCAGAGGAATGAAGCTACTAAGTGAAACTTTTAATAAGCTATTCTTAGTGTAATTCAATTATTCAGCAAGTATTTATTGAGTGGCTTTAATGTCATAATTTCTGGGATCATGATGAGAAGAAAAAATAAACAAAAATGTGTTCCTTATATTTGCGGGAATTGCAGTTTAACACTCTGAGACACTTAAACTGAAGACACAAGTACGGCACGTGCCTTCGTTTTTAAAACTTTTATTTGTACTTCCATACAGGAGGAAAAGAGCAAACATTAAAAAAAAATTAAACAGAAAAATTCGGGAGCTGAGGAGAGAGGATCACTTGAGGCTAGGAGTTTGAAACTGGCTTGGGCAACATGGCAAGACCGGGTCTCTACAAAAAATTAAAAATTAGCTGGGCATGGTGGTGCAAGCCTGTACTTTCTGATTCTGAAGGCTGAGGTGGGAGAAGCGTTTAAGCCCAGGGGTTTGAGGCTACAGTGAGCTGTGATCGCACTACTGCACTCTAGCCTGGGTGACTAGAAAGAATCCATCTCTAAAAAACAAAAACAAAAATAAAAACTACAGGGCAGAGACACAAAGCTGATTACATTAATTTCTCCTTGGAGGACCTAGGTTATAGCAGAGAGATTTAAGAACAAATTTTAAGGAAGGATTTGCTTCATAATTCTATTCTGGGTAATGGTTGAAAAATATTGAAGAAATGAATAAGCTTTCTGTAGCATTTTAAAAAAGCCACAGTGGCATTCTTGAAGAAAAAAAAAAAACTCTCATTATAGTCATTGGTTATTGTTTTTGCCCTCTCAGTATCTAAGTTCCCTCCCTATATTTGTGGAATCTCTCATTATGCAAATTTTGGTGGGATCAATGTGAGCATTTTCGATTCCCTTGAAGAAGGCTTTTGTGCGCAGAAAAGTTATTCAGAAGACAACCTTTTAGAAAAGAATATTTAATTATTAAAACTCCAACTCCAAAAACCTATTCATCTTTAAACTTCAGATTTAAATTTTAAGTTTTATTATTTATAAATTAAAGTTTTGGCAATAATCTCTAGGGGAGCTGTGGTAACTATTTGGTCTGATCTACACAATTCACCATGTTCCTTGAAACAATTTAAATTAAATTGATACATTTAGTGTTCTTGATTTTCTATTTAAATACTATTTTCTGAGTAACTGAAAAGTCTGAAATACTATGGTCACTTTTACCATCTAATGAATTAAACATAAACATTATTAAAATAACTTCTCAGATGAATTGATTTAGAGCCCAGGTCAAAGTTTTGCTGAAAGGGAATAGGCTTTTTAAGTAATTCAAAGAGTTTGCCTTGATAGAGGCATTTTATGGGAGAAAAGTGATTAAATAAACATTTTACACTGTATTTCTAAAATTCTTGTTGGGATGACATTGCAGGACTGATTGAAGGTCCTGAGGCATTTCACAGGGCATAATGTCAGCTAGGGTATTAGGAGATGCTCTTAAGCTAATTAATGTCTAAGAAAATTGTTCAAGCATTTTATTATGTATGTTAATAATGATCTCCTAGAAGAGGCTCACAATCACATTATACCACAAAGTTCTGCCTCAGATCAAGTTTGGAACCATTCTTTTTCTTAAGATGATGAATCTTAAATTAACATCCAATATCAATAGTAAATTTCCACTTAAAATTTCAACCAAATAAATTACCCAATTGAACAATGTTAACTTATTCTATTCTAGCAAATTATCTATGATGTTTAAAATACTTAGCATGCTAAATCACACAGAATCCTCCTTAACACAAAAATGGTAATATTATAATTTTGACTTCTTCAAATGTTTTCATAACACATTAAATCTTTCCAGGGTTAAAAGATACTTGTGCACTAAAGGAGCACTAATGCTGCTAACTGGGCTTATTTACTAACTAGAGATTTCAGCTGAGTTTGAGGCCTGGGGCTTTAAATGCACAGGATATTTTTTCTTCCAAACGTTGCTAAGGTCTTTTTTGGAGTTACTATGTCCAAATCTTTAAGACAATCATGTTTAGGGGAGGCTTTGGTAACTATTTGGTCTTATCTACATGATCCATCATGTTCCTTGAAATAATTTTAATTGAATTGATAAATTTAGTATTCTTGATTTTCTATTTAAACTACTATTTTCGGAGTAACTGAAAAGTCTCAAATACTATGGTAACTCTTACAATCTAACGAAGAAAACATAAATATTTAATTATGTGAGCTCTCCTAGCCCACATTATCCATGTCCCCAAATTTAAAACTTAGAATTACCTAATTCTTCCATCTACTAGTGAAAATCTGAAAACTCCACTAAGACCATAGCTAACTTTGTTAAATGGTGTTGCATTTCTTTGGATTTTATAATTTAATAACTTTCTGCCTAGTTCTAAAGATATATTGAGATTATTTGAGATTATTTGAGATTATTGAGAATATTTGAGATTACTTGAGATTATTGAGATTATTATATCAAGATATATTGAGATCATTCTAGTAGATTCTTCACATCCTGAAGTAATTCTGGAATATTCTGAAGTATCCACTTTGAATGTGATGGGACCTTTTCTTGAGCCAGTCTGGTGGCATCTGATGTTCACTGACAGCAGAAACAGTGATGATGGAGACCTTATGTTGTGGCAGCAGGTGTGATGGTCACCTGATGGTATCTTGTATGCAGTGTCAGTGGCTGGGCATCCATACCAGTGTGTTCCTATGGCATGACTTTGCAGCAACCTGCCCACAAACTTCCTTCGGTTCTTGATCATTTTTCAAATCTGGTTCTGGTTTCTAATAGTTTTCCAATATAATACCTTTATGCTTAAGTATTTGCATTCAAGAACTCTGACATTTAAAATGTTTAAAGTAGAAAGGCTTAATGAAGTCTTGATTGATAATAGATGGCTTTAGTGTTTAGTGATGCGATAGCAATTTGTGCCTAGGTATTTCTTTAAATCACACTCTAACTTGAGGGCCATTTTAAAGCATTTTATAGTAAATAGTAAATCTATTCTGTTGCATTGATTGAAAAATAATATGAACATGTATACAAACTAAAAGGTACAAAGCAAATTATTAAAAATGATTACCTTTATGGGATGGAATTATGGGTGAGTTTTTTTCTACTCGTCTGTATTTTTTGATTTTCCAAAACAAACATTTACTATCAAGGTAATTTTTAAAGTTTTACAGTTGTACTTTTACAGAAAATAGTATGCCTGACGTAAATACGGCTATTGCTTCTTGATCAAAGACTTATAAATGTCAACATTATCCAATTATGCCGTTGAGGAAATCACCCAAATAATAGACACAAAACCTGGGAAAAGTTAATTGGCAACTTATGAGAAACCATGAAAACTGAAGTGTAATAAACTTAAGACCAGGCTGGGCATGGTGGCTCACACCTGTAATCCCAGCACTTTGGGAGGCTGAAGTGGGTGGATCACCTGAGATCAAGAGTTTGAGACCAGACTGACCAACATAGTGAAACCCTATCTCTACTAAAAATACAAAAATTAGCCGGACATGATGGCAGGCATGTGTAATCTCAGCTACTCAGGAGGCTGAGACAGGAGAATTGCTTGAAGCCGGGAGGCAGAAGTTACAGTGAGCTGAGATTGTGCCATTGCACTCCAGCCTGGGCAACAAGAGCAAAACTCTGTCTCCAAATAAAATAAAATAAAATTAATTTAAAATCAGTAGCTGCAACACTAGAAAGATGGCAGATCAAGAATAAAGAAAAATCCCTTTCATTCCAGAAAATCTCCTGAAAAAGAGGGAGGCTTATCCAACCCTCAAAGTCACCCAGACAAATCAGGTACTTTTGGCAAAGAAGGAGCAGAGGAAAGGAAAAGCGCTCAGTTTTAAGTGACTGGAATTGTTCCTACATGATTCCTGGTGGCAGAAACACAACAAGGTTCCTCTCAGACAAGCACAAGTGAAACCTCATGCCCTGGAGTTGAAAGGAATAAACATTCCTTGGCCTTTGTTGTATGCATCCAAAGGATTAGTGGCATGAATCTACTGGTGCAGAGAACCATTACAAGATGTATTAGTCCGTTTTCACACTGCTATAAAGAACTTCCCTGAGACTGGAAATTTATAAGGAAAGAGGTTTAATTGACTCACAATTCCACAAGCTCAGGGAATTTGTAATCGTGAAGGAAGGTGAAGCGAAAGCAAGCACATCATACATGGCGGCAGGTAAGAGAGAAGAGAGTGTGAAGGAGAAACTCTCAGCCACTGATAAAACCATCAGATCTTGTGAGAACTCACTATCATGAGAACAGCATGGGGGAAATTGCCCCCATGATACAACCACTTCCCTCCCTGGACACATGGGGATTACAATTAGAGATGAGATTTGGGTGGGGACACAGAGTCAAACCATATCATTCTGGCCTTGGCCTCTCCCAAATCTCATGTCTTTTCAAATTTCAAAACCAATCATACCTTCCAAACAGTCTCCCAAAGTCTTAACTCATTTCAGCATTAACTCAAAAGTCCACAGATCAAAGTCTCATCCCAGTCCAAGTCGCTTTGGCCTAAGAGCCTTTAAAATCAAAAGCAAGTTAGTTACTTCCTAGATACAGTGGGAGTACAGGCAGTGGGCAGCTCCCATTCCAAATGGAAGAAATTAGCCAAAAGAAAGGGGCTAAAGGCCCCATGCAAGTCCAAAATCCAGCGGTATTGTCATTAAATCTTAAAGCTCCAAAATAATCTTCCATGCAAATGGAAATCAAAAGTGAGCAGGAGTAGCTATAATCATATTAGATAAAACAAACTTTAAGTAAGAAACAGTGAAAAAATAAGAAGACAAAGAAAGTCATTATATAATAATAAAGGGTCAATTCAGCAAGAGCATATAATTCTAAATGTATATGCACCCAATACTAGAGCACCCAGATTCATAAAGCAAATATTACTAAATCTAATAAAGAGACTCCAACACAGTAATATTGAATGTCTTCTACACCGCACTCTTAGCATTAGCCAAATCATCAAAATGGAAAATCAACAAAGAAACAGTGGAATTAAACTGGCCTTTAGACCAAATGGACCTAATAGACATTTAAATAGTATTTTATTCAACAACTACAGAATACACATTCTTCTTGTAAGCACATGGGACATTGTCCATGATTGAGCACATTAGGCCACAAAGACTTTAAAAAGTTTTGTTTTTTTTTTTTTTTTTTTTGAGAGGGAGTCTCACTCTGTCGCCTAGGCTGGAGTGCAGTGGCACGCTCTCCGCTCACTGCAAGCTCCGCCTCCCGGGTTCACGCCATTCTCCTGCCTCAGCCTCCTGAGTAGCTGGGACTACAGGCACCCGCCACCATGCCCTGCTAATTTTTCGTATTCTTTTTTTTCAGTAGAGACAGGGTTTCACCATGTTAGCCAGGATGATCTCAATCTCCTGACCTCGTGATCTGCCCGCCTCGGCCTCCCAAAGAAAAAGTCTTTTAAAAATTGAAATCATGGCAAGTGTCTTCTCAGGCTGCAATGGAATAAAACTAGAAATCAATACCAACAGAAACTTTGGAAACTATACAAATACATGGAAATTAAACAATATGATTCTGAATAACCATTGAGTCAGTGAAGGAATTAAGATAGATATTGAGGCTGAGTGCGGTGGCTCGTGCTTGTAATCCCAGCACTTTGGGAGGCAGAGGCAGGTGGATCACCTGAGGTCAGGAGTTCGAGACCACCCTGGCCAACATGGTGAAACCCTGTCTCTACTAAAAACACAAAAATTAGCTGCGCATGGTGGCACGTGCCTATAATCCCAGCTACTCAGAAGGCTGAGGCAAGAGAATCACTTGAACTCCGGAGGTGGAGGTTTCAATGGGCTGAGATTGCACCACTGTACTCCATCCTGAATGACAGAGCAAGACTCCACCTCAAAAAACACAAACAAAAACAAAAATCAAACATGGATATCGAGAATTTATTGAAACAAATTAAACTGGAAACACAATATACTAAAACTTGCGGGATTCAGCAATAGTAGTGTTAAGAGAGAACTTTTTAGCAATAAATACCTACACTGAAAAATAGAAAGATGTAAAATAAACAATCTAATTGGGGGGAGGAGCCAAGATGGCCGAATAGGAACAGCTCCGGTCTGCAGCTCCCAGCGTGAGCGACGCAGAAGACGGGTGATCTCTGCATTTCCATCTGAGGTACGGGGTTCATCTCACTAGGGAGTACCAGACAGTGGGCGCAGGTCAGTGGGTGGGCGCACCGTGCGCGAGCCGAAGCAGGGCGAGGCATTGCCTCACTCGGGAAGTGCAAGGGGTCAGGGAGTTCCCTTTCCGAGTCAAAGAAAGGGGTGACGGACCGCACCTGGAAAATTGGGTCACTCCCACCCGAATATTGCGCTTTTCCGATGGGCTTAAGAAACGGCGCACCACCAGATTATATCCCACACCTGGCTCGGAGGGTCCTACGCCCACGGAGTCTCGCTGATTGCTAGCACAGCAGTCTGAGATCAAACTGCAAGGTGGCAGCGAGGCTGGGGGAGGGGCGCCCGCCATTGCCCAGGCTTGCTTAGGTAAACAAAGCAGCCAGGAAGCTCGAACTGGATGGAGCCCACCACAGCTCAAGGAGGCCTGCCTGCCTCTGTAGGCTCCACCTCTGGGGGCAGGGCACAGACAAACAAAAAGACAGCAGTAACCTCTGCAGACTTAAGTGTCCCTGTCTGACAGCTTTGAAGAGAGCAGTGGTTCTCCCAGCACGCAGCTGGAGATCTGAGAACGGGCAGACTGTCTCCTCAAGTGGGTCCCTGACCCCTGACCCCCGAGCAGCCTAACTGGGAGGCACCCCCCAGCAGGGGCACACTGACACCTCACACGGCAGGGTATTCCAACAGACCTGCAGCTGAGGGTCCTCTCTGTTAGAAGGAAAACTAACAACCAGAAAGGACATCTACACCGAAAACCCATCTGTACATCACCATCATCAAAGACCAAAAGTAGATAAAACCACAAAGATGGGGAAAAAACAGAACAGAAAAACTGGAAACTCTAAAACGCATAGCGCCTCTCCTCCTCCAAAGGAACGCAGTTCCTCACCAGCAACAGAACAAAGCTGGATGGAGAATGATTTTGACGAGCTGAGAGAAGAAAGCTTCAGACGATCAAATTACTCTGAGCTACGGGAGGACATTCAAACCAAAGGCAAAGAAGTTGAAAACTTTGAAAAAAATTAAGAAGAATGTATAACTAGAATAACCAATACAGAGAAGTGCTTAAAGGAGCTGATGGAGCTGAAAACCAAGGCTCGAGAACTACGTGAAGAATGCAGAAGCCTCAGGAGCCGATGCGATCAACTGGAAGAAAGGGTATCAGCAATGGAAGATGAAATGAATGAAATGAAGCGAGAAGGGAAGTTTAGAGAAAAAAGAATAAAAAGAAATGAGCAAAGCCTCCAAGAAATATGGGACTATGTGAAAAGACCAAATCTATGTCTGATTGGTGTACCTGAAAGTGATGTGGAGAATGGAACCAAGTTGGAAAACACTCTGCAGGATATTATCCAGGAGAACTTCCCCAATCTAGCAAGGCAGGCCAATGTTCAGATTCAGGAAATACAGAGAACGCCACAAAGATACTCCTCGAGAAGAGCAACTCCAAGACACATAATTGTCAGATTCACCAAAGTTGAAATGAAGGAAAAAATGTTAAGGGCAGCCAGAGAGAAACGTCGGGTTACCCTCAAAGGAAAGCCCATCAGACTAACAGTGGATCTCTCGGCAGAAACCCTACAAGCCAGAAGAGAGTGGGGGCCAATATTCAACATTCTTAAAGAAAAGAATTTTCAACCCAGAATTTCATATCCAGCCAAACTAAGCTTCATAAGTGAAGGAGAAATAAAACACTTTATAGACAAGCAAATGCTGAGAGATTTTGTCACCACCAGGCCTGCCCTAAAAGAGCTCCTGAAGGAAGCGCTAAACATGGAAAGGAACAACCGGTACCAGCCGCTGCAAAATCATGCCAAAATGTAAAGACCATCGAGACTAGGAAGAAACTGCATCAACTAATGAGCAAAATCACCAGCTAACATCATAATGACAGGATCAAATTCACACATAACAATATTAACTTTAAATATAAATGGACTAAATTCTGCAATTAAAAGACACAGACTGGCAAGTTGGATAAAGAGTCAAGACCCATCAGTGTGCTGTATTCAGGAAACCCATCTCACGTGCAGAGACACACATAGGCTCAAAATAAAAGGATGGAGGAAGATCTACCAAGCCAATGGAAAACAAAAAAAGGCAGGGGTTGCAATCCTAGTCTCTGATAAAACAGACTTTAAACCAACAAAGATCAAAAGAGACAAAGAAGGCCATTACATAATGGTAAAGGGATCAATTCAACAAGAGGAGCTAACTATCCTAAATATTTATGCACCCAATACAGGAGCACCCAGATTCATAAAGCAAGTCCTCAGTGACCTACAAAGAGACTTAGACTCCCACACATTAATAATGGGAGACTTTAACACCCCACTGTCAACATTAGACAGATCAACGAGACAGAAAGTCAACAAGGATACCCAGGAATTGAACTCAGCTCTGCACCAAGCAGACCTAATAGACATCTACAGAACTCTCCACCCCAAATCAACAGAATATACATTTTTTTCAGCACCACACCACACCTATTCCAAAATTGACCACATAGTTGGAAGTAAAGCTCTCCTCAGCAAATGTAAAAGAACAGAAATTATAACAAACTATCTCTCAGACCACAGTGCAATCAAACTAGAAGTCAGGATTAAGAATCTCACTCAAAGCCGCTCAACTACATGGAAACTGAACAACCTGCTCCTGAATGACTACTGGGTACATAACGAAATGAAGGCAGAAATAAAGATGTTCTTTGAAACCAACGAGAACAAAGACACAACATACCAGAATCTCTGGGACACATTCAAAGCAGTGTGTAGAGGGAAATTTATAGCACTAAATGCCTACAAGAGAAAGCAGGAAAGATCCAAAATTGACACCCTAACATCACAATTAAAAGAACTAGAAAAGCAAGAGCAAACACATTCAAAAGCTAGCAGAAGGCAAGAAATAACTAAAATCAGAGCAGAACTGAAGGAAATAGAGACAAAAAAACCCTTCAAAAAATTAATGAATCCAGGAGCTGGTTTTTTGAAAGGATCAACAAAATTGATAGACCGCTAGCAAGACTAATAAAGAAAAAAAGAGAGAAGAATCAAATAGACACAATAAAAAATGATAAAGGGGATATCACCACCAATCCCACAGAAATACAAACTACCATCAGAGAATACTACAAACACCTCTACGCAAATAAACTAGAAAATCTAGAAGAAATGGATACATTCCTCGACACATACACCCTCCCAAGACTAAACCAGGAAGAAGTTGAATCTCTGAATAGGCCAATAACAGGAGCTGAAATTGTGGCAATAATCAATAGCTTACCAACCAAAAAGAGTCCAGGACCAGATGGATTCACAGCCGAATTCTACCAGAGGTACAAGGAGGAACTGGTACCATTCCTTCTGAAACTATTCCAATCAATAGAAAAAGAGGGAATCCTCCCTAACTCATTTTATGAGGCCAGCATCATTCTGATACCAAAGCCAGGCAGAGACACAACCAAAAAAGAGAATTTTAGACCAATATCCTTGATGAACATTGATGCAAAAATCCTCCATAAAATACTGGCAAAACGAATCCAGCAGCACATCAAAAAGCTTATCCACCATGATCAAGTGGGCTTCATCCCTGGGATGCAAGGCTGGTTCAATATACGCAAATCAATAAATGTAATCCAGCATATAAACAGAGCCAAAGACAAAAACCACATGATTATCTCAATAGATGCAGAAAAAGCCTTTGACAAAATTCAACAACTCTTCATGCTAAAAACTCTCAATAAATTAGGTATTGATGGGACGTATGTCAAAATAATAAGAGCTATCTATGACAAACCCACAGCCAATATCATACTGAATGGGCAAAAACTGGAAGCATTCCCTTTGAAAACTGGCACAAGACAGGGATGCCCTCTCTCACCACTCCTATTCAACATAGTGTTGCAAGTTCTGGCCAGGGCAATTAGGCAGGAGAAGGAAATAAAGGGTATTCAATTAGGAAAAGAGGAAGTCAAATTGTCCCTGTTTGCAGATGACATGATTGTATATCTAGAAAACCCCATTGTCTCAGGCCAAAATCTCCTTAAGCTGACAAGCAACTTCAGCAAAGTTTCAGGATACAAAATCAATTACAAAAATCACAAGCATTCTTATACACCAACAACAGACAAACAGAGAGCCAAATCATGAGTGATCTCCCATTCACAATTGCTTCAAAGAGAATAAAATACCTAGGAATCCAACTTACAAGGGATGTGAAGGACCTCTTCAAGGAGAACTACAAACCACTGCTCAAGGAAATAAAAGAGGATACAAACAAATGGAAGAACATTCCATGCTCATGGGTAGGAAGAATCAATATCGTGAAAATGACCATACTGCCCAAGGTAATTTACAGATTCAATGCCATCCCCATCAAGCTACCAATGACTTTCTTCACAGAATTGGAAAAAACTACTTTAAAGTTCATATGGAACCAAAAAAGAGCCCGCATCGCCAAGGCAATCCTAAGCCAAAAGAACAAAGCTGGAGGCATCACACTACCTGACTTCAAACTATACTACAAGGCTACAGTAACCAAAACAGCATGGTACTGGTACCAAAACAGAGATATAGATCAATGGAACAGAACAGAGCCCTCAGAAATAACGCCGCATATCTACAACTATCTGATCTTTGACAAACCTGAGAAAAACAAGCAATGGGGAAAGGATTCCCTATTTAATAAATGGTGCTGGGAAAACTGGCTAGCCATATGTAGAAAGCTGAAACTGGATTCCTTCCTTACACCTTATACAAAAATCAATTCAAGATGGATTAAAGACTTAAATGTTAGACCTAAAACCATAAAAACCCTAGAAGAAAACCTAGGCATTACCATTCAGGACATAGGCATGGGCAAGGGCTTCATGTCCAAAACACCAAAAGCAATGGAAACAAAAGACAAAATTGACAAATGAGATCTAATTAAACTAAAGAGCTTCTGCACAGCAAAAGAAACTACCATCAGAGTGAACAGGCAACCTACAAAATGGGAGAAAATTTTCGCAACCTACTCATCTGACAAAAGGCTAATATCCAGAATCTACAATGAATTCAAACAAATTTACAAGAAAAAAACAAACAACCCCATCAAAAAGTGGGCAAAGGACATGAACAGACACTTCTCAAAAGAAGACATTTATGCAGCCAAAAAACACATGAAAAAATGCTCCTCATCACTGGCCATCAGAGAAATGCAAATCAAAACCACAATGAGATACCATCTCACACCAGTTAGAATGGCAGTCATTAAAAAGTCAGGAAACAACAGGTGCTGGAGAGGATGTGGAGAAATAGGAACACTTTGACACTGTTGGTGGGACTGTAAACTAGTTCAACCATTGTGGAAGTCAATGTGGCGATTCCTCAGGGATCTAGAACTGGAAATACCATTTGACCCAGCCATCCCATTACTGGGTATATACCCAAAGGACTATAAATCATGCTGCTATAAAGACACATGCACACGTATGTTTATTGCGGCTCTATTCACAATAGCAGACTTGGAACCAACCCAAATGTCCAACAATGATAGACTGGATTAAGAAAATGTGGCACATATACACCATGGAATACTATGCAGCCATAAAACATGATGAGTTCATGTCCTTTGTAGGGACATGGATGAAATTGGAAATCATCATTCTCAGTAAACTATCGCAAGAACAAAAAACCAAACACCGCATATTCTCACTCATAGGTGGGAACTGAACAATGAGATCACATGGACACAGGAAGGGGAATATCACACTCTGGGGACTGTGGTGGGGTGGGGGGAGGGGGGAGGGATAGCATTGGGAGATATACCTAATGCTGGATGACGAGTTAGTGGGTGCAGCGCACCAGCATGGCACATGTATACATATGTAACTAACCTGCACAATGTGCACATGTACCCTAAAACTTAAAGTATAATAAAAAAAATACATTACAAGGCTATAATAACCAAAATAGGATGATATTGGTATTAAAAAATAAAGACACATAGGCCAATGGAACAGAACCTAGAACCCAGAAATAAATTCACATATTTTCAGACAACTGATCTTCAACAAAGCTTCCAAAAACGTATATTGAGGAAGGGACACCCTCTTCAATAAATGGTGTGGGAAAAACTGGATAACCATACACAGAAGAATGAAGTTGTACCCCTCAGATATCCCTGAGATAGAGATCTCTCACCACATACAAAGTCAATTCAAAATGGGTTACATACTTAAACATAAGACCCAAAACTATAAAATTACTAGGAAAAAAAAAGTAGAGAAAACTTTTCAGGACATTAATCTATGCAAATATTTTATGGCTAAGACTCAAGAGCAAAGGCCACCAAAACAAAAATAGATGAAAAAGCTTCTACACAGAAAAAGAAGCAATCAACAGAGTGAAGCAACAACCTCTTGAATGGAAGCAATTCAAGATAACACAGAGAAGCTGAGGTACCAGCTCAGCCAGAGTGGGGAAGAGCAACAATCCGGCTCCTGGGGTCCCTAAGTCCAGGCCTAGGCTCTGGCACAGCATTTCTGTTCTTGCTCTGGGGCAGAGGGGAGTCCCCTGCCCTAAAGAGTGAGTCCCAGCCTGGGCAGTATTTACCACTAGCTTACTGTTGGGCTTTACATGATCATTCCAGTGGCCAGGCAGAATGCCACATGGGCCAGTGGCGGTGGTACCCACAGGGAGAGGCTCCTCTGCCTATAAAAAGGGAAAGGAAGAGTGAGAACATTATAGCATGCTTTTGGGTGCCAGCTTAGCTGCAGTAGAATTGAATATCAGGCAAATTTCTAAGGTTTCCGGACTCTAATTTCTGGCTCACAGACAGTGTCTCTGAACTCACTCAGGGTCTGGGATAACCAGTTGCCCTGAAAGAAAGAAGACAAACCTGACTGGCTTCACCACCTGCTGACTGCAGAGCCCTAGGGCCATAAGAGAACATAAGTTGTAGCCAGGTAGGGGTTACAGCAGGCCTTGGACAAGACCCAGTGCCGTGCTGCCTTCAGGTCTGACACAGGCAGTCACAGTGGTGATAGCAACAGGACACCACTGTGACTGCACTGTGTCACAGTCTATGCATAGACTTTTTACTATGCATGTAACAAACACTCACATGTACCCCATAAATATGTAAAATATTATGTATCCATAAAATAGAAAAAATATATATACAAAACATAAAGAAAATTCTGCAATAAAACTGATGATCTTTAAAAAGGAAAAAACACTTTTAAACACTTTATTTATGCAGCACTTTCCTTACATTCTCTTCCATAACTGTGTGCTCCCGACATCTGGCCTGTACCCACCCACAGCAGGAGCAGACTCTCTTTTTAAAAGCACAATCAATTATAGTGCACTTCCAATCTTTTATGCTCCGATCTCAGTCTAGCTAACTCAAAGATGATACACTAGAAAATGGTAATTAAAATTTGGAATTGGAGTCAAAGGGATTGCAAATATTAATAAGCAGACAGACTACCTACAACCCAATATAAATTCACTCTTGTGTTCGCACAGAAGTGAAAATTAAGTAATCCGACCTCAGTAAAAGACTAAAAGCAAAACCTATTTTATTCCATAGACATGAAAGATCTATGCTTCTGATACAAAGCTATCTTAACAGAAAAGCAAAATTGAGATAATCACAAGAGACTAGGTGTTCATCATACAAAAATTTTCATTTCAGCTTTGTGTTGCAGTGCTTAGAAGATAGATGACTTTCCACCAGGGTGAAAAGTGCTCGCAAAAATAGATACCATGTCTCTTTCCTGACAGTATGAATGATGGGGAAACCTGGCCGTGCACAGAAGCCTAACTATTCTCTGGATACCATGGATAAAAGCAGCTTGAACTAGTACCAAAATGAGCATTACAAACACTGCAGGTGTCTCTCAAATCGAGCCCTCATTTTCCAAGCAATTAATGCTGATTTCAAGCCAATAGGACAATAACAAGGGGCTACACCTAGAAGAGCCTGCTGTTTCATACAACTGTGTTTGCTAAAACAGTTCAGCCACAAATCCTGAACAAGAGATCTCCTGCGGAGTGTGAGCAGCATGGAGGAGCCATAATCCCGCTATCTCTGTGAGTCTGGGGGTCAAATAGTGACAATTACTCATTCTGGTAATTAACTCCTGCCTCCTGGGAAAGAACAGGGTTCTCTTCTACTTCAGACTTTCTCTTCAGACATAACACACACACACACACACACACACACACACACACACACACACACATCATTGATAATAAATATTACCAAAAACCACTAAAAGAGAAAGCAAACTTACAACAAGAGCAGCCCAGTCACAACCAACATCAGGTATATTATAACAAGAAGAATGAGGATAAATCAGATAGATCTGTTATTATGGTTTATAACAGGAAGTATATATTTTAGGGCCAGGCGTGGTGGCTCAGGCCTATAATCACAGCACTTTGGGAGTCCGAGGCGGGTGGATCACTTGAGGCCAGGAGATCGAGACCAGCCTGGCTAATACAGTGAAACCCCATCTCTACTCAAAATACAAAAATTAGCCAGGCGTGGTGGCACATGCCTGTAATTCCAGCTACTTGGGAGGCTGAGGCACCAGAATTGTTTGAACGTGGGCGGCAGAGCTTGCAGGGAGCTGAGATTGCACCACTGTACTCCATCCTGGGTGACAGAGAGAGTCTCTGTCTCAAAAAAAAAAAAAAGAAGAAGAAGGAGAAGGAGGAGGAGGAGGAGGAGGAGGAGGAGGAGGAGGAGAAGGAGAAGGAGGAGGAGAAGAAGGAGAAGGAGAAGGAGAAGGAGAAGGAGAGGAAGAGGAAGAGGAAGAGGAAGAAGAAGAAGAAGAAGAAGAAGAAGAAGAAGAAGAAGAAGAAGAAGAAGAAGAAGAAGAAGAAGAAGAAGAAGAAGAAATATGTATTTTGGGCTTTGTTCCCAGTTCCTTACACAGTGCTCCTAATTCCCTGGGATTTTCTGAGTGCTAAGAGTACCTTGTTCTAATGAGCTGACTCTTGGTGGGCTCCTGTGTGAGCAGTTACCAGAAAGACCAGGCCATGATTAGAAGCTTGAAACTTTCATCCCCAAGCCCCATCCCCCAGGAAAGGGAGAGGAGCTGGAGATTGAGCTAATATTGATCATGCCTATGATGAAACCTCCATAAAAATCTCTGCAGAGTTTGGAGAGCTTCTGAGTTGGTGAACAAGTACCATGTTCCAGGAGGGTGGCCCACTCCCTCTCAACCAAGATAGAAGCTCCTGTGCTGGGGACCCTACAAAACCTCACTCCTTTAAACTCTCCTTTGTAATTAATTGCCAATAGTAAATAAACTATTTTTGTGGCACCTATAAGCCACTCTAGCAAATTATAGAACCTAGGAAGGGGATCATAGAAACCTCTGATTAGTAGCCAAGTTGGACAGGAGTTGCGGGTCACCTGGAGACCTTGTATTTGCAATTGGCTTCTGAAGTGGGGGCAGTCTTGTGAGACTGAGCCATCAGCCTGTGGTGTCTGTGCTAACTCTAGTTAGCGTCAGAATTGAGATGAATACTAGGACACCTGATTGGTGTCCCCAGAGAACTGAAGAACTCCTTGGGGTGAGGGAACTCCTATAAGTGTTGGTGACCTGAAGGGTTGTGACAGCACAAAAGAGAGAGCAGCTTGTTCTTCCTTGAACATCTGGGGTCACAAGTGAGACATTGAGAGTCCTATGTGTATAGGAGGAGAAACTGTTTTTTCCACCTCTCAATATCACCCTTCATTTTAGCTCATTTTCTGACAATCAATTTAACACCCACATGAAATAAGGCTCCTACTTCTGGTTTAATCTTGACAACAGTAACAACAAAATCTCTGATTCGGTCACCAATAATAATTTGTTGAGACCTAATATACACCTGCCACTCCTCTGGGCACAGGGAAACAACAGGGAGCCAACCTGAGTCTGGATTCAGGGCATTCACAGTCCGATGGGCTCAGCCCAGTGAGACCGTCTCCAGGTACACAAGACAGTGCATGGTATGTCTATGTCAATAAGAGCTACAGCAAAAGGAGAGTTGTGCAGGGGCTAGGGTGTGCGGTTGTGGGATCAGTAATAGGGTTGCCTAAATGTCACCTTTGAATGGAATGGAGGCCGGGAGACAGGGACACCAGCCTGTCTCAGCAGTAAGTGAGTAGAGGCAGAGAAAGCAAGGTGAGGGCAAGTGTGGGGAAAGAAATAAAGAGGTAGTGGAAGGGGTGGGAAGGGGAAGGGGACAAATAGTAGCCTTGTGAACCTTTGTAAAGACCTCAACTTTGTATTCTTAGTAAGAGGGAAAGCAGCCATGGCTGAGCTGTGAACAAAGGCATGGAAGCACCCAGCACCCCACATCTCGTGCATTAGAATGATGGAGGGGTAATAAAATGGAGCAAATCCGAAGCAAACAGGAGCAGACTACCTGACCCCCAGGTGTAGATCCAAGTATGTTTGGCCTGAAACTCATACAATTTCAGAGTGTGGGGACTTCTATAAGAACATAGGATATGGATTTATTAACAAAAATTAATAAAAGTGCATTTTTAGAATAAGAAATCAGAAGAAATTTCAAACATAACGACTTTAAATAACACAAACATCACATAACAGTTTTTAAAAACATTGCTTCCTTAATGAAGTACTCGAAACACCCGTTTCTTTTTTCTTTTCCCCGATATTTTTGACTGCATACTCTTGGTCACCTCTTCATACAACAACACTTTAGTAACATTTTCTCTGTGGACAGATTTAAGAGATAATTTAGTCATTTCTCTAATATTATGGGTTAAACTGTATGCCCCCAAATATGGTAAAGTCCTAACTTATGGTATCTCAGAATTGTTGCAGATGTAATTAGTTAGGTTCAGATAAGGTCATACAGGAGTAGGGTGAGCCCCAATTCAATATGACTGGTGCCCATGTGAAGTCACAAAGCCACAGGAGAAGATCCCACAAAGATGGAGGCAGAGATCAGTGTTACTTTGACACAGCCAGGGAACATCTGGGGATATCAGATGCTCCAAGAGGCAAGGAGGGAGCCTTCCTTAGAAGCTTCGGAGGAAATGTGACTGTGCCATCACCTTGATTGCAGACTTCTAGTACTTCTCCAGAACCATGACACAATAAGTTTCTGTTGCTTTAAGTCACCCATTTTGTGGTACGTTATAATGGCGGCTCTGGTAAACTAATACATCTCATATGATTGATCAAAATTTGCTTTTTATTACAGGGAACTTAGAAAACATACTTTTTCGCTATTAGTAATGTGATGGAAAAATTTAGTATTTTTGTTGACTTTGAAAAAAACTCCTATTGAGTCCTTTGCATATTGAGATGTTACAGATAATTTCATGTGATATATATTACACACATTGCATTATTAAAAATTCTTGACAGAAAAGAACTTTCGTTTTGACCAGGTGTCAATGAGAAACAAGTCTTTCACTTAAAATGTTGCACGTCTGATGACTGGAAAGATTTGCCACAGATTAGCTCTGGTCTCCATGAACTTCAAGTTTTGTTTCCCCTCCTCTATCTAGCTTTTCAGAGTACCAGGAGCATGATTCATATTCACATTGCAGCATAATCTCTGGCCCAGTATATTCACAGCCCGATATCTGGTGAGTTGGCATAGTGGGTGGTAGAAAGTTCTTGGAAGCCATTTCTGCACTTGGAGCAGCCAGAAGAAATTTGACTCTATCCCAGAAATAACTGAGAACCATGATAGTTACATAGCACCAAACCCAAACTATATGTATCCCCAACTTAATTTACTCTCAGCTAGATCTCCAAAGTGACCTTCTCCACTCCTATACTTTTGAGTGGTAGGGTAAGTATGACCAAGAATAAATTACAGTAGAAAGAGGCAGTGGTCTTGCCAATCAAAATTAAATATATTACTTTTACAACTTGTACAAATCATATGAATAAACTAGTCCTTTGAAAGACCTCTGTGCAAGTGAGGGGCAGTGAATCTTGTATCTCATTAGCCTTACAGTAAATTTGCTTTTGCATCTCCCATTTGCTGTAGGGACATGGCAGTTGTTTTAAGGGCACCATGGTTTGAATGCCCAGACTTGCAGATTTACCCTGTTCTTCAATTTCGCACAGTGATTTACAAAGCACAGTGTATATAAGCATCATTGTTCAGGGTTATGTCTATGAAATACATACTTTTTAAGTAATTTAAGAGATGTTTTAAGCAAATCAGAAGATAACTCCCACCCCATGTAAGAGGAAACTCCACATACACTCCCTTCTACAATCAAATCCTTCTGCAAATTAGCAATGGAATGTGTCCTCTAAAGGAATGATATTGGAGCCATGTATATTAGTCTGTTCACATGCTGCTAATAAAGACATACTTGAGACTGGGTAATTTATAAAGGAAAAAGGTTTAATTGACCCACAGTTCTGCAGGGCTGGGGAGGCCTCAGGAAATTTACAATTATGGCAGAAGGGGAAGCAAACATGTCCTTCTTCACATGGTGGCAGCAAGGAGAAGTGCCAAGCAAAGCAAGGAAAGGCCCCTTACGAAACCCTCAGATCTCATGAGAACTCCCTCATTACCATAAGAACAGCAGCGTGGGGGTAACTGCCCCATGATTCAATTACCTCCCACCAGGTCCCTCCCACGACACATGGAGATTATGAGAACCACAGTTCAAGATGAGATTTGGGTGAGGACACAGCCAAACCATATCACCATATAACTTTAAATAGGGTTAAAAAAGAAATAGTCTTCACTTGTTGATATTAGAAGGTGGGTAGCCTTTGCCCATCTTTGTTTTTGTTTTTCAAGTGTTGAAGCCACATCAGACACAGAGCAATTTGCACATAATCTTGTTTCCCAGGTGAGTAAAGGTGGAATGTTCAACATTAAAGGTGAAATAATTTATTCAAAAGTTTAAATTTTTATGTTATGTGAGAATAATTGTCACAATTTAGAATTTATAATATCATAATACTACAAAAATATTTTAGTCTAAAATGTCTTCTGGTAAGTGAGGGATTAAATAACTTAAGCCGCTTGCCCAAGGTCACAGAATAAGATATTGGTTTTCAAAACACCTGCTAATGGTAATAGAAAAGTAATAGTAATAATAATAAATACATAAATTATGTAGGTTTTAACAATCACAAAATGACATTCTTAATCAGTGGGAAAACTTTCTCTTTCCAGCTCAAGTTCACCAGAATGCTCATGGGACCTGTAATTACAGTGACTCATCCCTAAAAAAGTTATTGTGAGTAGTCACTGTTCCTACGATAATGCAATGGTTTTGCTTATAAAATTTCCCTGAAGTTAAACCAACTTAGAGGTGGTGAGTTTGGATGCAGAAATTATTACATCAGGTAAATCCATCAACAAAGCATTTAAACACAATGGATTTTATGTTTTCCTCTACTTTTTAAAGACTCCTTCTGCTTTTTCATTTAACTACATTGTTTATCTACACAGATATTTCTATCCTGTAGAAATCATGAGCTTGATTAATCATATTATGACCTTATCAAAGAAAAAATATACTATAATCACTGGATACTGAAAAGAATCTTAGAAATAAATTTGATTCAAACTCTTTATTTTAGAAATTAGGACAATAAAACAACAGAAATGACTTTCCCAAAATTGCATTTTGGAATATAGACTGGGACTTAAATCATCTGTTTACAGGGATCTTTCTGCTGTCTTTCTCTCCTGTGTTAGACAGATAGGTCAATCGTCCTAGAACTTTGGTTTTAAACTGTCATCTCCTTTCCTGCAGGATAAAATTTATACTCTTAAGCCTCATACTCCAGACTCACCCCAATTTGATTGAGGTTATTGCATTAATCATATTCCCAATTTCTTCTCAACATAAATATGCCACTAAATGCAGTTTCTTTTATTTTCACAGACCATGCCTTGAAGTCTGTGCAAGGTTACAGATTAGATTAGAAAGATCTATTAGACTGACAAGAATGCCTTATAAACAAGGTGTTAAGAAAAAAGATTTTAACTATTATATCAATTAAGTTAGAGAGAGGTATGTTCATAAAATTCAAAAATAAATGGATTCTGTGTCAGGGAGTTCTGTAATGTTGTAAAGCAGAAAACTGAGAGATGAAAAGAAAATAGCCTATAAACAAGCTGGCATCAATATTTCATTATAAAAATAGGTGGCACCGGGAAGAGAGTATATTTCAAAAGAGCGTGTCAAGGTTAGCCTTCAAAAGTTTTGAATGAAAAGTGGAAACATGCAGGAAGGTAATTCCTCATGAAGATGTCTGGATCTGTATTCAGGATATCAGACAGAACTAAATGAGATGAATAGGAGCTTGAATTCTAGATAAGGAGACAAAGATAATGACCCAGGGCCAGGCTCAGATAACCAAGCGCCACTGCTGACAAGACAATGACGGCTGAAACCATGATGGCGCCACCTTTAACTATGGTCTTCTTAGTCATGTGTAATCCAAATAGGCAGGTATTTCTGAAGGCAGACAAAGGTATTTCCTATTTCTAATATCGCTGGTAGCCAATGGTCATAGAAGTTTGAAGCAAAACATCTAAGCAAACACAACACACACATAATTATATTATGGCTCGACATCAACCACTGTCTTTTCTTCTCTATTCAAATTCTATCCTTCCTTTTTTTCCTACTTTATTTTTTTTTGGTCAGGGAAGAGAGAGGAGATGTGTGCTATTTGCTTTGTATACATGCTTTTCTTTGGCTGGTTTCATCATTGATATTTGTAGTGTTTTAAAATCATTTACACAATTTTTTTTTTCAGAGAGGAGATTCAAAATGGGAAAAAATAAAACCAAACAGCAAGGCCAAAATTTGGTTTAAATGTGCTGGCATCTGGCTAAAAAAAAAGTAGAGTTCCACCAAGTTTATTAGTATTAAAAAGAAAATATAATTTGGGGGAGTCTTTCCATTACTTCTATATGAACACATCTAAATTTAGGAAAGTGAAGTGGGCCTAGGCACTTAAAAGGAGGGCTCTTCCCATAGTGGGCTCTGAATAAAAATATTGCTGAGGGTCAGAACAACCAAGAAAAGTGGGAAGAAAAGAGTGAAATACATTTATCAGAAATGTTTATAAAATCAACAGGATGCCAATAAAGTTGTATCACCTTCAGTTTCAATGTAACCATGAGTGAAATATTCTAGACATGGCTGGTTAACATGTCTTCTTAAATGGAAAAAAATGGAGGAGTATCAATTAGGTATCAACAATATTTATTGAAGCAAATGTTACAAATTTTTCATATTTAGAGTGTATTCAGTACATTTTTAATATAGAAAGAGTGGTTATAGTCTTATAACACAGAGGTATTTGCATTTTTAATATTAAAGAGTAATTGAGATATTTAAGTTTAATGAATAAGAAACACAATTCTTCGGCAGCATTATGGTGTTAATTTTTAGATTTTTCTCCCTAAAAGCTAGAATTTAAGAAAACAACCACTTCCCTTTGAGTTATGAAACCACATTTGTAAGTTCTGTGTAAGGTGAGAGTTTTCTATTTGTCTTTGCACATAAGTTGTATCTGACTGACTCCCGTTATTAAGCTGTCCCCAGCTCACCGCACATCAGGACTACTCCCTTGCTTCAAGCCAAGCTCAGCTCATACAAAATTAGTATGTACAAGATGAGCAACATCAATCTAGTACAAAGAGGCGAAATAGAATATGAAAGCAAGGCACATGCGGAGGCATCTGCTTCAAACTGTTTGGACTCCTGGCCTTCCAGGGGTATTTGCCAGACATGTGGAAATATTAACTGAACTAAGATTTATGCCTACTCGCTCCTCTCTGTCTGCTGCACACTTCTTCCATGAAGTAAATCTGTTTTCTAACTTCAGTCTGTCTGATGACCAGGCAAGAAGACAGAAAAAAGCCTAGATAGGTTTTTAATCAAAGGGAAATATCAATCCCTCACTTGATCCAAATATAGAAACTTTGAAGAGAAAAATAAAACCCTCATATTATTTCTAGTTAAACATTATTTGTAGTCCTTTGAAGACACTGTATTTTCTTATTTGCAAAATTGGCCTACTTTAAGGGTTCTTTGTTGAGTCCCTAAAAGAACAGAATGTCTTGTTCATTTACATACAGTAAACAGATGTCTCTTCCAAGCAGCACAACATTGGGAAATAATTTTGAAACTCAATCCATTCATTGTAGCTTTGGAAATCCTGGCTAACAAGAATCCCAAAAGGATGCACTGCCAGTTGTTTATATGAGTGGATTATGTTATAAAAACATGTTTATGAGAGATCATTCATCTTTTGTTTCCTGCATACTGAGTTTCAGTTTAACTACTATTTCAGAGACAAGCGTTATGGGCTTCTATTATTTATCTATTTGTGTTGTGATAAAACTGGAATTCATAAACAGACTGGCAGTATACATGTCAAGCTTTCTTTATTGTCCTGGTTCAGCTTTACTTCGGAAGTTGAAAATAAAATCTGAAAGAGAAATACTTTCTTCCGTAGGTCATTGTTTAATCTTCATTGGTCTGGTAGAGATCATTTTCTCTGTGTCTTTATTCTGGAAATTATGGGAAAAAATCTTCCAACTGCTCTGGATTTTTTTTTCATTCTCATCAATTATCTGGGCAAGTCAGCTATGTGTTATTTGAATCCCAAATAGTACAATAATTTGTACCTTAATGCTAAAAGTCAGCAGATCCTAGAGTAGAAAGTAACAGTGGATATAAAACATTACTCTATGGAATGATTGCTAAGGTATTCATAGGTTTGTTTTGATTTATTTTGTTTTAACAACCTAGCAAACTAGGTTCACCAAAACCAAGCAAACATGAATATGCAAACTAATTGTAGAACTGAGCAAATATACAGAAACTACTTCCCTTGCTCTGGTTCTGACTTCTCATGACAGGGGAAGAAGACACATCCTAAAACAATCCTAGAATAAGATCCTTTGTGAAAGTTGGTTTTGTGCTCTCAGATGGTTTCCCAAGAAAGTCTCCACTCTAGAATTTACCTAATAGCTGTTTTATTAACTGGGAAGTTAGCATTTGCTTTATTGGTGAGATCTCTTTAAAGATTAAAATGGCCAGGTGCGGTGGCTCATGCCTCTAATCCCGGCACTTTGGGAGCCCGAGGTGGGGGGATCACCTGCAGTTAGGAGATCAAGACCAGCTTGGCTAACATGGCGAAACCCCATCTCTACTAAAAATACAAAAATAAGCCAGGCATGGTGGTGGGTGCCTGTAATTCCAGCTACTCGGGAGGCTGAGGCAGGAGAACTACTTGAACTCAGGAGGCAGGTTGCAGTGAGCCAAGATTGTGCCACTGCATTCCAGCCTGGGCGACAGAGTGACACTCAAATAAATAAATAAACAAATAAATAAATAAATAAATAAAACCTCTTGGACGCCGCAAAAAGTATGTAACCTGTAAATAACCCCCATTCCAACACTATTTCAGCTCTATGAGAAGACATCACTTTACTTTTTCCAAGCTGGAGACGGAAGACCAGAATGTCCTGAGGTGAAGAGGTGATAGTCACATTGCTTTCGCTAAAATAAGTTTATTCTACAGACAGTTATTAAGCACCTAGTAGGTTTCAGGCACCATTCTAGGTGCTGGAAACTTAGTACTAATCAGAACAAAAATCCTTTAGATTCTAGTGAGAAGACAGACAACAAATGATAAAATATAAAGTATGTTAAGTGGTCATTAGTGCTAAGGAGAAAAACATACATCAGGGAAGTGAGATGTGAAATGTCAGTGCGGTAACATGTAAGACAGGGTGGATGGGAGGCTTCCATGGGATAGGGGATTCTGAGTGTAGTCTGAGACTTGGCCAATGTGAGGTAGTCCTATGTATGTTAGTGCCAGATTGTTCCAGGAAGAAGAAACACTAAGTGTAGAGACCCCAGAATAGGAGCAACCCTGGAATGCTCAACCGACAGTAGGCAGGTGCAACGGCCATGAAAACACATTTCTTGAATTCTCTGCTCTGTTGGTAGCAAATAACTACAATCCCAGTTTCCATCCCTTTAATCCATCACCACATTCATGCAAAGTCCATGGTTCCCAGGGACTGCTCCCAGCCAATGACTGAGCATGCATGGTGAGGGCATAGTGCGCATGGCATTTGGGACTCCTCTGACGATGACTTCCACTTGAGGACTCCCCATCAGGCTGGCTACAACTTGGTCAGGGTGACTCAGAGGTTTGAGACTGTTCTAACTTGACCTTCCTTTCTTCCCAGTCTCCTTTCACAGATATCAGACCTGTATCATGGTCTGAAGGTTCTGCCTATTTCTACTTTCTTCCCTTAGTTCACAGGCATTTTAAAAACTGCAGAACTCTGAGAACATAATGCTATCCAAATACCTGCACTAAGAGACCTGAGCAAACTCTAGCATAGCTTCTAGCAGCATAATGGCATATTCCTAGGATGACCCTAGACCCTCATTAAAATGCTTACCTAAGGAAGCTCAACACTGTCTTCCCAGAATATGTACTGTTTGTTCTGACCAACACCTGATGATAGGCCCCTCACTTCCCTTTTTTAGAGCATTTATTAAAACGGGCTTACAATTGTGAATATGCATCTCTTAGAGCTCCAACGTATCTCTCCCAAGGACCTGAGAACCATTCTTTCAAATGTAATCATCAGGAAGGCTAGGGTCTCTGTCTTCTAGTCTCTGTGGGAGAAGAGAATGCTTACTTCAATTGCCACCAGCTAGCAGACACAGCTGGCCTAACTGCATTTACACTGACCAACACTTTGTAATTTTTCACTTCTCTTACTCTACTGAGCCCCTGCTCTTTCTTCTTTCTCAAAACACCCTAATCACCTCCGTACAAATCAGAATGGAGCTTAGCTCTTCCCCCTACTGTCAGTAGTTACTGAATAACATCTGTTTTCACTACCTTCACTAATGTCTGGGTATCCTTATCTTTGACAATTTATGGCAATAAATCTCTTGGTCCTCTCATTTCATTTTGGTGTCTGCTTCTTGGAGAAGCTAAACTAACACAGCAGCCCCATGTGCCTGGCACCACTAAAATGTGTGATCGTGATAGAGATGATGTCCATCAGTAGCAGTAGATCAGGTCTGAAACTTTTATTTTGAGTAAAAAGAAGAGGGAATAAAGAGTTTCAAACAGAGAAGTGACATGATCAACCTTCCTTTCTAATAGGGTTCCTCTGACCACTCTAGGGAGGCAAGATTAGGAGGCTCTTGCAATAATCAAGAGGAGCGATGGCTTAAACGAGGGTGGTGTCAGTGCAGCATGGGAAACAGTCAAACTCTGGATATATTTTGAAAGCAGAACTAAAAATATTTGCTACTGGAAAAGATGTGTGTTGTGGAAGAAAATGAAAAGAATCAATGAGGAAAATAAAGCCATCAATCTAAGCATCTAGATAGAGTTATGTTTAAGTCTGCAAGGGGACCTGCTTTGGGGCATAATATCTAGAACTCAGTTTCAGCCATATTATACAAGGATAGAAAAGTATCTGAAAATATTATGTTTAGCTGCATGTGAATAATTTTTGTTGAGAAAAAAATGAGATAAGCAGGAGAAAATATAAAACTTTCTTAGTAATGCAAATAACTGTGGGAGAATAGCTAAAATAACATGTTATTTGTCATCAGCTCCCAATTGAATTTTACTTCCAGATGAAGATCACTGAGTTTCAAATTTGGCACATATTGTCCTCTGGGTCTTATGATCTGGATCTCATAGCATGAGAAATGTGTATGTTCTACCTGTTGGCACCTCTGCTCAAGCTCCACGGATTTATAATCATGGGCATCTACATCTCCTTCAGCACAAATTAACTCATCAGAATAGTTTATCCTAAACCGTATTTCAAAGCCTAATTAATTTCAACATTGATGTTTTGTAGTATCTGTATTTCTCTAGATTTGTCCCTCTAAAGTTACTATAAAGTGCCTTGGATACCACACTCTTATCTATAAGTAAATTCTTTGATTACCTATCTGTGAGTGGTTCTTTATCAACCCCCCTTAACCTCTTAGCTCAAAGTTAAAATGTATTGCCATTAAAATGTCTCCAGCCTTCACCTTGGCTTGATACCAGCAGACATCTGATGCTGTCTGAGGATACAAAGCTAAATTAACAAATAACCTTACTTAAAAGGTTGTTCCTGCCAGGGGTGGTGGCTCATGCCTGTAATTCCAGCACTTTGGGAGGCCGAGGCAGGTGGATGACTTGAGCCCGGGAGCTTGAGACTGGCCTTGGCAACATGGCAAAACCTCGAATGAAAGAAAGGAAGAAAGGAAGAAAGGAAGGAAGGAAGGAAGAAAGAAAGAAAGAAAGAAAGAAAGAAAGAAAGAAAGAAAGAAAGAAAGAAAGAAAGAAAGAAAGAAAATAAAATAAAAGAAAGAGACAGCTTGTTCCCCCGTCTAAAATAAAAAATAATTTTAAAAATTAACCCTTCTTTTAAACAGCATAGAAATTGATTCTACTGAATAGAATATTACCCCACCTACATGGCCCATCACCTATTTTATTGTCAGAAAGTGGTTACTCTTCTTTTAACTTTCCACTATTAATTATTATTTGATTTGTAGCAATGTGGAACTTGATAAGGAATTTGGAATCAGAGACATTGGTTAAAATATTTGTCTACCACTTTTAAATGGCATTTCATCAGCTTCATTTGTGATGGATCAAAACTGTAAGGGTATTTCAACATAACTTACCGCTAGGAACCTCAGCACCTTGGTTGAAGAAAAATGGCAACTAAGGCAAAGGGCACAGAGCAGCATCAAGGCAGACTTGACTTCTGCAGCTGGAGTCTAATCCACACTAATTTAGACAGCAAAGGTGAGGCCTCAAGCAACATGTATCAGCCCAGAGAGCCAGACGGTAAATACGGAGAAACAAGATGGAGAACGATCTGTGGAAATGCTAATAAGCCCAATATGTAGTAAGGCTAAGGCCATAAGCAATCAAGGAAAGAAAGGGAAGAAAAGCTGGGCAACTGGCCTCCAGGTCAGGGAGAAGGGCACTGGCTCCTGAGTGCCAGATGACACAATGCCCAAAGGTATATCTTGAGACATTTCCTAAAGCAGTATCCTGGGTTGTAGTCACTGTCATTTCTCTCCTGCTTCTTTTCAAGCCTACCTTGCTCGCTAGTGAGAAATGTGAGTATATGTATCTGTATACATTTTTGTGCTTGTGGAAGGGGTGGTTAGGGCAAAAAATCATTGAATTTTACCTCAATTTTGCACTAAAGACTGCCCTTGAGAGCTAACACGAATATCATAATAGTAAGTTATCAATAGCAACACTTACAGTGATGGTTATAGTAGTTTAAAGGCATAATTCCCACAATAACTAGTTTACTATAGCCCTGCTGGATACCATGTTAAAAAATGGAGGAAACTCTCATATAGTTCATGTGGAAAGAGTGACATAATAGGAGTCTGGAGAGATAAGTAAGAGCCTGATTAGACAGGAGTTTTAGGCCATTTAAAGGATTTTGACGACTATTAATGGACTTTTTATTTGTTTTTCTAATTTAAATTTTAACTGAAAAATAATTGTACATATTTATAGGGTATAATGTGGTATTTTAATGCATGTTTACAATGTGGAATAATTAAATCAGGCTAATTAACAAATCCCTCATCAGGGATGGATGGAGAAAAGGATATTGATCAAAAGATACAAAGTTTCAGTTCAACAGGAGGACTATTATTTGACTTTAACTAGGGGAGGCTTAAAATCACACTCATACTTTAAAAAATTACTGGAAGTAAAACAATGAAAAATGTATGGGTGACAGGCAAAAATCGATGAAAGAGATTAGTTAGGGGACTATTACACTCTATTAGGCAAGAAAAGACGGTAGCTTGGACTAAGGTGGGAGGATTAGGGTTAGAATGAAGTAGATGTATTCAAGATGAGAGAGGGCTTGGTGATTTTTGGATAGAGGGAACTGGTGAAAGGGGATGAAGCAAAGATGATGTCAAAGTTTTGGCTTTGACTAAATAATTGATAGACTCATTTGCTGACACTGGAAAAATGAAGGCAGAAAAAGTTGAATGAGGGAGGTCACTTTGGACCAGTTTTTTGAGTGTCCAACGGTGAAACTGTCCGGATAAACTTTATGAAATTAATCAGGGAAGGAGGGCAGGGGAAATAAAACAAGCTTGCAACAGACTCAGCATTAATCCTTAAGTCAGCCTGCTCTTGGACCTGCTTCCTCATATTTGTTTGGTGCTTGTTGTCCTAGAATCATAGACTCTGTTACAAGATTATAGCTCTCCTTAACTGCTCCATAGATAACAACTTGAACACTAAGAAACGTTAAGTTTTCTCTTTGAGATACTCGTTCAGGTCCTGCATACCAGTGAAATGACCAATGCCAGTTGGTCTGAAGGACCCCACAAGAAGCTGACTCACCAAAGAAAGAAGCTTTTACATCCTAATAACTTCAACCGCCTTACCTTAATCAATCAGTGACAAAACAATTTTCCAACCCCTCACCTTCCATGATCCCCTTAAAAACCCCAGCCCAGAACTCCTTGGGGAGATGGAGTTGAGGGTCTCCCTCCATCTCCTTGCTGGACAGCCTGCAATCATTATATTCTGTCTCTGCTGCAAACTTTTTGTCTCAGTGTATTGCACTATTCCTGCAGAATAAGCATACAAACCTGTTGATTTGTATAGAGATAATCTGATTTAATTTGTTAAATAGACACTTGAGACCCTGGTTTGGATTTCCAAAATTAGATTAAGACTGAAAATATACATTTGGGAGTAACTGTCTACTTCGCCTTCATTCTCTCCATCTCCATGGTTAACAAAATCCTAATTTTATTCAAACATATAATATGCTCAACTAAAAATTCCCACCTTCTCAGACTTCCTAACATATGAGGTTGGTTCCTTGACTCTGAGTGCTACTATGAGACGTGAAAGGAACTCCTCTAGGAACTGTGGGGTGTTTGCTTTCATGACACATGCACCACTCTGTTGCCCGGTGGCCTTTTCCCTATCTGCCTGCTTGGTGCAATGGAATGAATGCTTATGTTCCTCTAAATTTATATATTGAAATCCTAGCCCTAATTATTCAGTTCCTAGTAGTTTTAAAACTTAGGCCCCTATTTTTTTCACTGGCTGTCAGAGTCGTTCTCAACTAGCCATTTCCAGTTGGTATTAGAAAGTAAAGCTTTGGGAGGGGATTAGCTCATGAGAATGTAGCCCTCATTAATAGGATTAGTTCCTTATAAAAGAGACCCCAGAGAGCTCTCTCACCTCCTTTCCACCACCTGAAGATACAAGGGAAAGTTGGCAGTCTGCAAGCTGGAAGAGGGGTCTCACCAGAGCCTGACCATGCTGCCACCCTGATCTTGGACTTCCAGCCTCCAGAACTATGGGAAATAAGTTTCTACTGTTTAAGCCCCCAGATCTGCAGTAATTCGTTAATAGCAGTTGGAACTGACTGAAACATCTGGGAACCATGATATATCTGGCAATACAGCAGCCACACTGCAACCACATTTTTATAAAGTAAGTGGTAATTAGAATGATGGGAGTGGATATCATGTAAGAAAAACAGAAAAAATATAGAGTATGAAGTAAATATGTTGGAAAACAAATTTTAAGCAACTTCAAACTTAAATGGTTTATTAGAAGAGGAAATGTTGAAAGAATAAATGAGAATGAGTAGCTGAAAAGGCTGGAAGGAAATTGATGAGGTGGAAGAGAAAAAAAACATGAGAGGAGAGAATGTTTTGGCAAGAGGGAGTGGTTGGTCATCCTAAATGATGTAAAGAAATTAATAAAAGTAATTAATTTTTGCATCTAGAAAATCCAAGATAAGTAAGCAATAATTAAAACTGTATGGAGAGTTCCAGTAGTAAATCAGATGTAAGACAACAATCAAATTCTCTCCAAATTGAAACTTCAACCCACCCTGCCACATGAATGCATCTTTTTGGATGCTATTTTTTCCCTTGACTTGATTCTGTTCTATTTTTTTCTTTGTTTTTTCATCTTCTTTGATAATCTTCTCATAGCCATTGCAAGATATTCAGTCAGTAAAACCTCACAATCCTATTTGCATCCTTTCCATAACTCATTTGCAATAAATATGTTTAATGTTTGGGATGTTTAACTGATAACATTTTTATGAGATATTAATACTCTGGAAATCATTATTCTACAGAAAATCCTAGACAATTCATTTAAAAAATTCAGGCCGCATCTGACTGAGAAAAATTTAACGGCAATATTCAAATGAAATAGAACTCCAACCAGTGTCTTTATAATTTTCTTTTGTATGAGAGAGAACTGCTACTACTTGGGCATAACTTTTCCCAGCACATGGACCATCTAAGAATATGACAATTATTTACTGTCATTACTGCTGAGAGACATGAAAAAAGATAAATTGTTGGATCTCTTTTATGGTTAGGGAGAATGCATTTTATAAAGATGAATATCATAGAACATTTATTTTTACTTCAGGCCCATGCCCACTGTATGAGACCCAATGAAATATTCATTTTCTGCTCTCCTCCCTTCATTTGGGGGTAATGGGCTGTCATAAAGGGCCATAAAGCACTTTCCACTAAGAAGCTTTGAGACAAGGGGAGCCAGCTTACCCCCTCCTCAAGTCAGGAGTAAGTGTCTATCTGGCTTTATTGCGTTTCATGAGTTTGTTGAGCAACCCAGTCCCCAAGAAGTGGTTCCCCAGGGCTTGTCTAGCAAGAGGAGGGCAATGTATCAATGACGAACCAGCATCCTGTCTGCCAGGTGTTCTCTGGTGCCATTATAGAAAGAAAACCCCGTGTGAGCCTCTGATTGTTCTGACTCCTCTACCTTTTCTCTTGAAAGTGAAATTCCAGAACCTTGGACAAGGTGGGATTTGGTGAAATGTGTTAACAAGTTGCTTGGTTTGGTGGCTTGCCTTTGGGGAAAAAAAATTGGTAACTGCTAATGTAATGCTATGCTCATCTTTTATTGCTTCATGACAAATTATGACAAACTAGTGACTTGACAAAACACCCATTTAGAATCTCACAGTTTCTGCAGGCCCAAAATTCAGGCATAGTATAGTTGAATTCTCTGCTCAAGGTCTCTCTCACATAAGTGAAATCCATTCTATGATGTTGACTGGTTTCAGTCTCTTCTGGAGCTTGGTGTCCTCTTCCATCATCATTTAGATTGTTGGAAGAATTCAGTACCTAGCAGTTTTAAGACTTAAGCCCCTATTTGTTTCACTAGCTCTCAAACAAGATTACTCTAGAGGCCACCGTCAGGTCCCCGTTATTTGGCTCTTATAGATGGCTCACAACCTGACTGTTTGCTTTCTTCCAGGCCAGTAGGAGAGGAGAGTTTCTCTACTGCTTCCAATTTCCCTTCAAAAGGGCATCACCAGATTAAGTCAGATCCATCCAGGAAAATCTGCCTTTTGATTTTACTGAAAGTCAACTGATTAGGGATTTTAACTACATCTGCAAAGTCCATTTTGCCATGCAATGTGGCATAATATTAGATAGAAAATCCCATCATATTCACAAGTCCCACTAGCATTCAGGGGAGGGGATTGCATAGGTTTTGCATATCAGGAAGAGAAAATCTTGGAGCCGTCTAAGACTTCTGCCTCCCACACAATTCTGACCAAATTAGGTCTTTTTCAGACAAGACTCATCATCTCCTCACTCTGCTTTATTTTTTCACAGCATTTATCACTGTCTCATACCATGTTGTCTAGTTCTCACTTATTTGTTAGCAATTTTTCACAATAGAATGTCAGCTCTCTTGCTCCCCATACAGATGTGCCTGCATATAATGGGCACCAAATTAATATTGACTAAATGAGTAAACTAGTAAATGAATGAGTGATTGAGTAAACAGAGAATTAAAAATGCAGGTTTTCTGCCTCCTAATAGATTACCTGTTTCCTGGATGTTGTCCAAGAGAAAATGAAGAAAGACCTATGATTTCAATTTCCCTCTCCTTCAAGATGGCAATCTTATTGACAGCTTCCTAGATCAACTCCCAGAAACAGCTTTGCTTCTAACATATTTAGAATGAATGTACTTCTGCTATTATTTCTTGAGAACAATTTTGAGAACTGTAGTTGGTGAACAGTGAAGGGGGAGGACTTGACTGAGAACTGAAACACGCAGGTCCAGATCATCCAGCAGGCAGCTTTCTCCCTTCAGGGTCCAGAGATCCTTGCTTTCCTTTTTTTTTTTTTTTGAGAATGAATCTCACTCTATTCCCCAGGCTCCAGTGCAGTGAGTGGCACTATCTCGGCTCACTGCAACCTCTGCCTCCCAGGTTCAATCAATATTCATGCCTCAGGCTCCTGAGTAGCAAGGATTACAGGTACGCACCACAACGCCTGGCTAATTTTTGCATTTTTAGTAGAGACCATGTTTTCAGTTTCACCATGTTGCCCAAGCTGGTCTTGAACTCCTGACCTCAAGTGATCCACCTGCCTCAGCCTCCCAAAGTACTGGGATTACAGGAGTCAGCCAATGCTCCAGGCCCCCGAGATTCTTTCACTTCGACAGCTTATAACTACATGAGACTGAACCCAACAGAGGGCTGATGTTTTAGCTCATTAATGCTGAATTACCAGAGGTGCTAGAATTGTGGACTCAACCACCTGTAATGATATGCTGACATTTCTTCAGGAGAGTTGGATTGATTTGAAAGGGTGCTATTATCAGGCTGCCATGGGAAGTAGAAGAAAATCCAAACTGACATTGAATAATTGAAGAATTTTATTACCTGTGAGTGATTGCTAACCTGGCATTCCTTCTCTCTAGCATGTAGCTCATTTGTTATTTTCCTTTCTCTCTTACACATTCTAAGCTTGTTCTTTAATCTGCTACCCCGACCATCTCAGGTCGTTGGTAACTTAGGACCCTCTTTCCCTAGTCAATTTCTGCTATTCCTGACTTTTTAATCAATCTGTCATCTATCTGAATGCAATCCCAGCAAACACACTTGGATCCATGTCCCCTTGGTATTCTGCAAGGTACATCACTTTATGTAGCCTCTCATTTGAGTTTCAGCTCTGAAGTTAAGGGACTTTGAGACAGTTGGGTAAATTGTTTAATCTCTTGAATTCTCAGTTCCCTTGTCTGTAAAATCTGTGTAAAACAGTCCCTGAATTACTCACAATGTTGTTGAAAGGGTGAATTAAATAACATATGTGAGTATTGTTTAGTAAAGCACTGTATGGCTGTGTTATTATTAGGATGCAAAAAGAGCAAAGTGCTGTCGCTGTGGCTCAAGTATGGCCACAATCATTCCTTAGGCATTGGGTGATTCACTTTATATGGCCTATAATCATTCCAGCTTGTATAGCTCTTACTTTTAATATTTCCATGGTTTGCTGTTCTCACTTCCACTGGAAAATTTAGCTCTTGATCTGGATGCACTGAAGTTGAGATTGGTAACTCTTTAGTGCCTGCCATTGTCTGATGAACCCAGCTGCTTCCTTCTGCTCTGATGGCTAACCCCTCTTCAGAGCACTCAAGGAAGGAAATACCCGGGTGGTTGGATGCCCAGCACAGCACACAGACTTGGGACTGCTTCACAAATATGGACCTCAGTCTGGTAAAAGGCTTCTCAGGAGGCAGCTCTGAGATGGTCAGTAATAAGTCACTCACTGCCATGCTCCACAGAGCACCCAAATGGCCAATCTCATTTTTCCTCCTAAAGGAGAAGCTCAGTGGTAAGAAAAGATGGGCTGGTCACTCAGCTGAGAGATATGGTACCAAACAAGAATGATCAAACTTCTTTGTGAATTATGAAGCTTGCTGAATCCTCCGGTATCAAAAGAACTCAGACTCTGGGTCATTGTGCCACTGATAAAGCAATTTGTATCTTAATAACATATTCTTAACCATTTAAAGATGTTTTCCCAAGAGTGATTTATATAATTTCTCTTCTATATGACCTTGAAAGTTTGGGCAGGTGCACCACTACAACCTTCAAATCCAAGTTCAATTTGGAAACTGAATGACAAAGACCACTAAAAGTTGGCCAGAGGAGGAATGGGAGAAGCAAGACTGAGAACCAGCAGACACTAAGTAGAAATACAGTGTAAGGGTCTATGTGAGCTTAACATTTTCCAAATAGTGAAACTTTTCACCTAATTCAAGTTTGCATTGTACATTGAGACCAAAGAAAGCCCTTTGTGTACATTTTTCACTGGAAGGTTTTGGCTGAAAATTATTGGATTAGCACACAGGTGGGACAAATAGAAAGGATGCTTCCACTTATGAGTGAGAACATGCAGTGTTTGGTTTTCTGTTCCTGTGTTAGTTTGCTGAGAATCATGGTTTCCAGCTTCATCCATGTCCCTGCAAAGGACATGAACTTAGCCTTTTTTATGGCTGCATAGTATTCCATGGTGTATATATGCCACATTTTCTTTATCCAGTCTATCATTGATGGCCATTTGATTTGGTTCCAAGTCTTTGCTATTGTGAACAGTGCTGCAATAAACATACTTGTGCATGTGTCTTTATAGTAGAATGATTTATAATCCTTTTGGTATACACCCAGTAATGGGATTGCTGGGTCAAATGGTATTTCTGGTTCTAGATCCTTAAGGAATTGCCACACTGTTTTCCACAATGGTTGAAATAATTTACACTCCCACCAACAGTGTAAAAGCATTCCTATTTCTCCACATCCTCTCCAGCACCTGTTGTTTCCTGACTTTTTAATAATCGCCATTCTACCTGGCGTGAGATGGTATCTCATTGTGGTTTTGATTTGCATTTCTCTAATGACCAGTGATGATGAGCTTTTCTTCATGTTTGTTTTGGCCGCATACATGTCTTCTTTTGAGAAGTGTCTGTTCATATTCTTTGCCCACTTTTTGATGTTTTTTTTTTTTTCTTATAAATTTGTTTAAGTTCCTTGTAGATCCTGGATATTGGCCCTTTGTCAGATGGATAGATTGCAATGAGGACACATGGACACAAGGAGGGGAATATCACACAACAGGGCCTGTCAGAGGGTGGGAGGCTAGGGGCAGGATAGCATTAGGAGAAATACCTAATGTAGATGATGGGTTGATGGGTGCAGCAAACCACCATGGCATGTGTATACCTATGTAACAAACCTGCACGTTCTACACGTGTATCCCAGAACGTAAAGTATAATAAAAATAAAAAAAGAAAGGATGCTTCTTTCTGTCAGTTCATCAACACAGTTAGACAAGCTGTAAAGTGAGCTAGCATTCATCTCTAGTACCAAAGGAAGAACAGACCAGACAGAAACATTTCCACAGAGGTGGAAATTTCTGGCAGTAACATAGTCTGCTGCATGTGAAGCAGAACAAAAGGAAGGGCTGAGTCTTTCAAAATTTTTTGACCATGACTAGCTCAAAGAATTGTTTTTGACATTGCATTTTACATTAATATCTAGTAAAACCACACATAAACACACACACATACACACACACACACTGACACACACAGATACAGATACAGATACAGAGACACCTATGACAGAAACAAAAATTTATAGAGTGATACTTAGCCTTACAATATGTGATCCAGGCTTGCAGTTCTGTTCTATTCCATTTCATTTTGTATAAAATATGATGATGATGTTGGGTGCAAACTTCCATTTGAAAAATCCTGCACAAGAGGCTCATATGTAAGGGAAACTTGGCTGAGAATTAGGGTGGATCTGTTCTGCCTTCATTCTTACTTGGACGTGAGTTTTGCCTTTTTGGAAGTGATAGAATTGAGGTGAGGGGGTGTTATATTAGGTGATTTTGTTTAACAGTTTCCCTGTGTGTAGTATAATTTCAGGAATACAAAGAAATCTAAACCTTTTCCTCACCACTTCTCTGACACCCCAAATTCATCATTCACTCATCTATTGCTTTAACAGAGGTACATTGAATGTCTCGTGTGTGTCAGGCATTTTTGAAGAACAAATTTTGCATTATTATTTTCTACCTTTTGATAGTTCTCCTTTCTAAAATAAAAATACCTTATCTGAAAAGAAGTATTTTAAAATTATTCTCAGTGATTTGTAAAAATCTACTTTATTTCAATTTATTCAGAATGTTTTTAACTGATAGAAACAGGCTACATAAATTGCAACTTTAATATTCAGAGTTTACTTTAATGCTCTCAGAAGGAAGATGGTTGTACATATGAAGAAACCCACAATAACACTGTGTCCACATCTTCACAAGAAACCTTTCAAAATACCTGACCTGTAATCTAGACTACTTGTCCATAAATTTCTAACATCTTACTCCTAGGCTGGAAAGCAAATGTATTTCCTTGGCCTTTTGCTGACAGAAAGAAAAGGGTGCCAATAATCTCTGGATACTTGCTAACTAATAAAGTTTGTTTTTCTCAATTTTTAACAGTGTGTCAGGCTGCCAACCAGGATAGAACCACACAAAAATGACTTGACTTTTTTGTCTGTTGATTGATTTTCATTGATATATTCAGAAGATAATTCTGAATGGCTTGGTTTACCTATCAAAACAGTATCATGTTTTTCAACATACCACACAATATTCAGACCCTCATCAAAAATAATGTGCCTTCTCACCTCTGTTACTACACTAGCTTTCTGGCTGGATTCTTCCACCCCAGATTTATTCTCCTGCAAAGCACTCTACTCACTATTCTTATCAAAATATACTCTTCACAGCTTCTAATTCATGTCTTTAAATTTTCTAACTCTGTGAACTGCTATATACTATCCTTTCACTTGGGATGTCTTTCTTACCTTGGAGTATTGAAGTTTATCTTCAGGGATCAGTTGAAATATTATTATTCATTCAGTAATTTAATTCATTCAGCTATATGTATTTATTATACACTTATTATATACAAGACACTATTAGAGACCAATTGTCTATACTTTCAGCTCCCATGTTTCTTATAATCCAGTGGTGGAGATAGCGTAGTAAGCAGGCAATTACATTACCATGTGATGGTTGCCATCTATGTTTGTGGGGATCAGGGAAGGCTTTGAAATAAGTAACATTTATGCTAAAACTGAAATAGATGAAAGATAGGCAGAAACAGAGGAGAATAATCCAAATAAAGGGAGAAGTGTGTATGAAAAAATCTATAGATGAGAGAGCTAAAAAATACTTAGCAATGGCAAGCTTAGTTGAAGCAAAAGTTGAGGCTCGGAAAGTAAGTAAAAACCACATCATGAGGGTACTCCACCTTGAAAAAAAACGGAGCTCTTGAAATATTTTAAGCGGAAGAGTAGCTTTATCAGATTTGCACTCGAGAACAAGTTTGTCAGCCGTAATGAAATCTGATTAAAGGAAACCAAACTTAGATTGGAGAGGCTCTTATAGAAGTGCAAATACAAAATGATGCTGGCCTGAACTGGTGAAGTGGCAGGAAAAGAGAATAAATTGAGAAGGTTTCATACATTTAATGGAATGCAGGCTTTGATGATGGATTAGATTGAGGAATGGTTTTATGTTGAAATAAGGCTTTAGATTTTGGCATGCTGATTTTCCGGTATTTGTGGGAAAGCCAGAAGCAGAGGTCTAGCACACAGTAGGATATTAGGATCGGAATATCAAAACAGACCTATGAGTTTTAGTTGTGAATTTATGAGTTAGCGTCATTAGATGGTAATTAAACCATGGGAATGAATGGCATTCACAGAGGCAAATAGTTAGAAGACCTAGAATAAACTCTGAGAAACACAAAACTGTAGTGGCTTGGAAGAGCAGAAGCCCCTGAAATAATGATAAAGAACAACCAAAGGATGTGGAAAACCAGAGGACATCTTGTCACAGAGGCAGCAGGAAAGGATGTGCTTTACAGAAATGAAGGTTCGAGAGTGCAGTGCTCCCAGGCAATCGAGTCAAATAAGGACTGAGATGTGCCTATTTATAGGAGTCCCATAGGTGCTAGTTTGCCCAGAAAAGTCTGAATTTAGGCTAAAATGGTATGACTAACCCATCTTTCGTTCTCAAATGTGTCCCATTTTCAACAATAAATGATAAACCTATTGTTGGTAAGGATAGTTTTGGGATGTTAGGGAGTACAAAAACTAGCAAGCAGTGGGTTAAGAGTGGAGTTGTAGAAATTAAAACAGAAACCCACTTTGTATAGGTCGTTCTTTGAATTGGTTATGGCAGAATGAGAGGGATTAGATGAGAGAAGCATGGAGAAGAGGGATGTTACCCTAAGGATCATGTTTAAATGTTGGTGGGAAAAAGAATACATACAGTTGACCCTTGAATAACACAGTTTTGCCCTGTGTCCACTTATATGTGGATTTTCTTCCTTTTCTTCTGCCCGTGAGGCAGCAAGACCAACTCCTCCTCTTCCCCCTCCTCCACAGCCTACTCAATATGGTGATGATGAGGATGTAGACCTTTATGAGGCTCCACTTCCATTTAACAAATAGTAAATATATTTTCACTTACAATTTTTTAATAATATTTTCTTTTCCCTAACTTACTCTATTGTAGGAAACAGTATAAAATTCACAAAACATACAAAATATGTGTTAATTGACCATGTTATTAATAAGGCTCTAGCTAATGGTAGCCTATTAGTAGTTAAGTTTAAGGAGTCAAAACTTATACACAAATTTTCAGCTGCATGAGGCGGTCAGCACCCCACAACCCTCATGTTGCTCAAAGTTCAACTGTGCAAAGAAAACATGATAATAGAAAGAAGTTTCTCAGAAGGCAGGGGAAGGTAAAGTTGGAAACACAAAAGCATAATCATTAGAAAATAAAATGATAGCTTTTGTATTGCATTCAAAGAGGAGGAAGAAAGAATACATCACCTAATGCAGGAAATCTGTAGATTTTTTAAGGGTTTCTATGAAGTGACTTATCCTTTCTTGTCAAAGTTAGAAGGTAGGTTATTTGCTTAGACTTCCTTGTTCTTATACACAAATGCAATTTGTTGAGTTTTGTAAATCAAAGTACGATATTTTAGCTATTATTAGCTGAATTTGGCGAGGTTAGAACTGAGGATTAGTTATTTCAGCTTAGTCTTCAGGATCTACAGTCAGTGGTGGAGGTGGGATGGGGCCGAGTTGAGTGCGGGTGGGAGCTGGGGGTGTTCCCTGATTCCAAAGCCTGGTCTCTGACTCCTGAGCAGGGCTGCTGCTATCCTTCCATTTCCACATACATTGAACAACAAACTTTTTTTCAGTTTTCAGCCTGTGTTTTGAAAGTGGTGGGAGACAACACTTTCACTTGGTGCATTCACTTAAGTGTCTCTCTGATTTCTCCTTTGGGAATTCTTCTACACTTTAGCAAGGAGGGAAACAGGAGCATATTTTCACAGCATTTCTGCCTCCTAAAGAAACCATGCTCATGTTCTTGCAAGTTTGAGCATAGTTATGGAGATTCTAATTTAATATATAAAATTAGGACCGGACAATATAAATCGGATGTTTTGTACTAGGAGTTGAAAGTCTTCTGAATTGAGAGATAAAACACCTGGGCTTGATTTTCAATTTTGCCACTTACTAGTTGTGTTACCTTAGAAAACTTACATAAACTCATGCCTTTATTTGTTTACCTATAAAATGGGATATTGTATTCTACTCTGCTAAATGCCTGTTGCTTCTGTGATAATTAGATCAGGCAATATATGTGAAAGCACATCTAATTAAATTCAAATTATGAAACCAAAGGAAGAATCTGGGATTCCTCTGTGGACCATGAGATCCACATAGGCCCATGAAAGTGGGCTCATTCTGATGTAAAATTGTGGAAACATAGAGCAGAAAATATAAAGAACAATCTGAAGTCAAGTTTCAATCAACTAGAAGTCAAGTTTCAATCAACTAGAATTCAACTAATCAACATCAGTCAACTGATCAAGGGTTTGTGGGGTGTAGTTTTGTAGTTTTGGTTTTGTTTTTGATTTGGTATTTCATTTTTAGGATTTAGACAACACACACACACACACACCCACATACCCATCACCAAATTCAGAGGCTATAACCTGGAATAATTTTTAGAAAGACAGTCAGCATAATATCTGCATCAATAATATATGAGAATCATAAACAGTGACCCTTAAAGCACATTGAGTTCAATAACTTCCACTATAATCTATCTCCCAAGGCAGGAAAATTTTAGAAGTTTATAATTAAGTTATAGGGTTTTTTCCCCTCATTAATTCTGAGATGGCCAATAATGCAATGCCATTGTTCAAGTAATTCAAGAAATTAAAATTATACTCTAGGCTATCATTAGACTTTTGACTCTTCAAGCTAGTCTACTTAAAGCTTTTCATGCAAATGATACATTTTTAGCTCTACATTTTGTGATGGTCTCACCCTGCCTGCAGCGCTCTTCTTTCTAAAGTGGGTCCATCTGATAGTTCCAAATGGAGCACATTTCTACTCTTGATTTGCAGAGATATATCTGGAAGTACATTCGGTTTGAATCTCTGCTTTGGTAGTTTAGAAGAGCTGTTGATATGTTTCAGCAATGGGAGTACTGTCCAACAATCTGCTCCTCCTCCAATCCTTCCCTGCAAAGATCCATGAGTGTAGCAGCACAGTCCAGGCCAAGTGGAAATCTCCCCAACTAGTGATGGAGTCAAATCTTATAATAATGAGAGAGAGTAGTTTTTCTAAGATGTTTCATCCAGACATGATTCTCTTCTCTAACGTGGCAACTTCAATGACAGTGAAACACTCTGAAGACAGACGCCACCAAAAGGATGGTCATCCCCTTCATCCATATGGTCCTACCTTCTCCTCTCATATGCTTAGGATGAGGAACTTCTTCTATACCCACATTTGGAAGATGACAGTTAGTCTAGTTCACTCATGGGGATTCCACTCCCTTTGCCAATAATCAATATAGGAATAGACATATGAAAAAAATGTTGATCAAGAAGATAGAGGAAAAAATATTGCTCAAAGTGTCCTGGGAAATGTTTTACTTGTTATTACAAAAAAAAACTGTTGTGAAAAGAAGCTTCTATGTTTTTCTACCCCTTGGTGAGGTTATATGTGGACAGTTGTCTAAGGGTGTGGTATCTGAAGCTGTGACTGCCATTTTGTGACCATGAGGAGGCAAGCTGGAGGATGATAGCCAATGGGTACAGACAACAGAGTGGTAATATGGAAAGAAATTTGGTCTTCTACTGCTGAGCAAACTAAGTCTGTCACCACCTGCCTCTGGTTTCACTGATACTTGCAACCAAAAGCACCATACACTACCCTTAATTAAGTTTACATGAGCTGATTCTAACCTTTTTTTCTCATCAAAGACAGCATTTATTGGAAGGCCTTTGGTTGCCTTCTGCATGGAATGAGTACCCACAGGCCCACTTCACAGATGAAGATGTAACATAAATAGGAACAAGTAACAAAATGCCTCTATCCTAGAACCAGAACTTTATTCACCTTGAGTTAGTCCATTTTGCATTGCTATAAAGGAATACCTGAGACTGGGTAACTTGTAAAGAAAAGAGGTTTATTTGGCTCACAGTTCTGCAGACTGTACAAGCATAGCACCTGTATCTGCTTGGCTTCCAGTGAGGATTCAGAAAGCTTTTAGTCATGATGGAAGGTAAAAGGGGAGCAAGCATATCACACAGTGAGAGAGAGTGAGAAAGAGATGGGGGAGGTCCCAGACTCCTTAATAACTAGATCTCACATAAACTCATTACTGGAGGGAGGGAAGAAAACCATTCATGAGGGATCCACTCCCATAACCCAAACACCTCCTACCAGGCCCCACTTCCAGCATTGGGGATCACATTTTAACATGAGATTTGGAGGGGAC
Organism: Homo sapiens; assembly: GCF_000001405.40. Lineage (NCBI taxonomy): Eukaryota > Metazoa > Chordata > Mammalia > Primates > Hominidae > Homo > Homo sapiens. The sequence continues at coordinate 228,791,553 of NC_000002.12, forward strand.
AAAATTCAGATTATATCAACCCTACTTGCTTCATCAACTCTACTAACTTCCTGACTTCCTGAGTCAGGAGCAAACACCATCCCTTTGCTGCCTCTGCCAACCTCACTGAACATGACTACTCTGCATTCCCCTGATCTTTCCTGGTTGTTTAAATTTCTACATAATCCCAACTGCTGCTCTGTGCTTTCATTCCACGGCCATCCACATACCAGCATGACATGTCCTCACTTTTGAATGTGACTGATAACTTTGACAGCACTCAGCAGGCGATACCTCTGTGTGTTCTGCTTTCACCCCTAGAATTCCTCACATACGTGGAGATCAGAAAGCCCCCACCACTCAAAACCTGGCTGGATGGAAAGCTTTTCCTCAACTAAGACATTATACTATTGTTAGAGTGTGAATCTTAAGACAGGCTTGACTTAGATTCTCAGGTCATTATACAAATGACCGTCAGTCAACTCCTGATCCTTTTCTTCCACCTTAGTCTCCAGCATGGTCTCTTGATCTACATTAGGGTATCTTAAATCAAATCTTACTCTGTCTTGATAACGTCTTAAAATCACAAATTAAATTATTTATTCCTATTTATGACAACCCTATTTAAAAATTATTTACAACTATTTTCTGTACATTTCCATATATTCATTTTTTACCTTGTATATGTAAATATAGCTATAGATATTTATATAGACATACAAATAGATAGATACAAATATCCGCCTATAGACAGTCAGCTCCCCACATCAGCAGGTTTCATATCCATGGATTCAGCCAACTACAGATAGAAAATATTTGGAAAAAAAAAGACAATAAAAAGTTACAATGCAACAATAAAAATAATAAAAATAAAACATAATACAGTATAACAAATATTTACAAAATATTTACATTGTATTAGGTATTATAAGTAACCTACAGATAATTTAAAGTATATGGAAAGATGTGTGTAGTCTTTATTCATGTGAGGGACCAGAGCATCCATGAATTTTGGCATCCAAGGGAGTTCTGGAACAAATACTCACTGATACTGAGAGATGACTATATAAATATATGCAAAATATATATAAGAATATAAAGCTAGATATATTTCTATCCATCTATGTATCTATCATATATCTATCTAATATATCTATCTATATTTTTATTTAAAAGTTTTCCTGAGGCTAAGAATCACGAGCATTTATTTTTCTAATGACCTTAACTTACCATCTCTTCTTATTTCTAGTGTAAACCAATTTTTCTATATTTCCAATATACACAATTGAGGTTTTTTTTCAACATTTTTGTGGTCTTTTTTTTCCTTAACCAAGACTTTCCCCCCACCTCCATGGCACGACTGCTCTCCCTAACACTATCAGCATTGATCTTCTTCATGGTTCCTGTTTCATGCAGCATGTACATGCACATACACACATATGCATGAGTTAAGAGAATAATTTTTTTAGAAAATGAGTAGAAAAAGTACTGTTACTCTACACTCTTCATATCAACCACCAGCCTCTTTTCTTTGGAAGTCCATACAATCCAGCTGAATCAGCTTTTCAGCTTTTGGGTCCAGGACTCCATGACATTCCCATACATGCTTCAAGATCTGGCATCAGGCTCATAGTTCACATGCCATATTGAGAACCTGACTTACTTGGGTAGACATGGGAGCCATCTATGGGTTTTAAATGTGAGTGTTCCAGTGTCACGTTTGTCTTTTAATTAAAGTCCAGGGGCTGGGTTTAAAACGGATTTGTGGGAGACACATCTGGAGTCCAGAGGCCCTTTGGGACACTGTCAGTAATGCTGAAAATATTTGCTGGGGGTTTAAATTAAGGGAATAGTACAGGCCATAAATGAAAAGAGAAGACAGATGTTTTTAAATGCTTAGTACAATTACTGAGGGTTAGCCATTGGTAGATGTGGAGACTGAGGAAGGCAGAATCAGAAACATTCCCTAAGCTTCTAGTGTGAGTAAATTGGTAGGCTAAAATGCTCCAATGAAAAGAGAGAATGAGAATATTGCAGTAGCAATAATAGCTATCTTTAATTTAGCACCTTTACACTAAGCATTCTTCTACGTGATTTTCACTTTTTTTAAACTTTACCCTCACAATAACCCAAGAAAGCTAAATTCCATTATTTTCATTTTAGAAGAAAAAATTGGGGTATATGAATGTTGAATGTTTTACATAACGTCACACAGGCGGGAAATGATGGAGCCGAGTTTTATACTCAGGAACTTTAGCTTCAGAACCTGCACTAGGACTTTTAGTAAGCAGAGTTTATGGGGATATGGAAACAGAATGAGTGGTTTGATGATGAGTTTCATTTTATAAATGCTGGGTTTCAGGTACCTGTTTGAGATCCCAGAGACTTTAATCAAAGCATTGGGCGTAAGAGTTTAAAACTCTGGATAAACGTACCAATTTGAGAATCATTAACTTAACAGGGGAGCAGTTAAAAAAATGTTGGAGTGAATTATATCTCCAGAGAACAGTGAAGAGTGAGAATATGTGAGGGCTGAGGATAGAACCCAAAGAACACCATTGAAGACATGGCTAGAATAAGACAGCCTGTGAGTGAGAAAGGAGCAACAGTCAGGGATGTAGATGCTGGACCAGGAGAATACAGTGGGAAAGTTCCAGAAGGAGGCTGAGTGACTATGCAACTGGTAGATCTAGTAAGATAAGCACCAAAAGAAAATTAAAATTAAAAAAAAAACCTATTCACTACTCAATGTGAAAATAAAGGATAACGACCAGAAATATGGTGGATGTGAGTGAAAGGGTCAAATCCCAGGTGACAATAGGTTTAGAAATGAACGGGAGGAGGCCATGTGGTTAGGCAAATTGAGATCAATTTTCAAAAAGTTTGGACAAGGAGAGTGGTTAGATAACAGCTAGAAGATGTAGACTCAACAGAGTTGATTTACTTTTATTATTCATCTATGTATTTCTTTAGGATGATAGAAATCATATAGGCAATTGCAAAATTGTCTTTCTGAAGAGGGAGAATAAACTAGAATGGTTATGGAAGGAAAATCCCTCAAGAACAGCAGAGGATCAAGAACCCATGGGGTAAGATAGACTTCTATGTGAACATTACTCTATGTCCACTCCCATTTTTTGTTCTCTCATTCCAATAGCATAAAGCATAAAAAATAAATATAAGGGCAATTTCTTCTCATCTTTCTAAGATTAGATCCTACCTATCTGACCATGATTCTATCCCTACCTCAAGAACTTTGATCCTTAACTACTGCTACCATCCTTCATACTTGAAGTTCGCCCACTCCATTAACACCTTCCTCCTTGTCTTTAAGAATACCCAAGAGATTCTACTTCTTTTCCTCAATACTACATCCCCCTCTGATTACCGAACATTTGGGTCCTATCATTCGCTGCCAAGCCTTTAGGAAGACTGATCTATAGGCAAAGACTACATTTCTTTCTTGTTCACACACTCTGCAAGCTTTTAGATCCCATTAAACTAGTAAATTATTCTTTCAAAAGTCAATATTGCTCTTCTTATATCCACATCTGTTGAATTGATTCCTTTTCTTCTTTTGCAACAATTGACTTCCATTTTTCCCCTGCTTCTCCCCCTTCTAATTGTAAATCTATCACTATTTCTAGCCGTAATAACATTAACTGGAACTTCCTGAGTGCTTAAGATGTCCTATAGATTCATTTAAAGACATTACAAATATTAAACATTTAATTTGTTCACTTATATATGAAAGGTACTATTATCAGTCCCATTTTGTAATTGAGGAAACTGAGATTCTGATTGGTTAACTAACTGACTCAAGGTTACATAACTAGTGAGTGATGTACACAATTTTTTTCTGGGGTCAGGGACAGAATCTTACTCTGTTGCCCAGAATGGAGTGTAGTGGCATGATCTTGGCCCACTGAAACCTCCACCTCCCGGGTTCAAGCAATTCTCCTGCCTCAGCCTCCCGAGTAGCTGGGACTACAGGCATACTCCACCATTCCCGGCTGATTTTTATATTTTTAGTAGAGACAGGGTTTCACCATGTTGGCCAGGCTGGTCTCGAACTCCTGACCTTGTGATCTGCCCGGCTCAGCCTCCCAAAGTGATGGGATTACAGGCATGAGCCACTGTGCCAGAACAATGTACACAAAATTTTAACCCAACAGTGTAATTCAAATCTTATGCCCTTAATGCCTGATCAGTGACACCTTATCAGTATCATTTATAAGATGACCATATATAATGGTTGCCTAGGACTTTCCAAGTTTACAGTGTTATTGCAGCATAATTATTAAAACATACCCCTTTATACTGAAAGTCCCAATAACGGTAGTGAACTACATGGTCATGTTAACTTTATAGTCCCCTTTTCCTGTGTTCACCCAAAAGCTACCATTTCCTAGTAACTGTGTGAGGCATATAACATCCATAATTACTAATTGTTATAACAACACGTTGAACTTGGTTTCCTTATTTCAAAGGGGAAATGGTGAGGCTCAGGTTGAGGTTAATTGCCTTAATTAAGGCCACACATATACCAAGTGGTTGAAACTGGCAGGATAAAAACATAGATGCCTCTGGCTCTGAAATCCCTACTCTGGGTCTTTTCTTCCTTTGCATTGTAATCATTTCAGCACCACTCTCTGGGATGTCTCCAGATGCTGCCTTATCTCCTACCTTATGTCCCAGTTGTATAGCTGTCTAGCCATCAGTAATAAGTGGGCTCTCCAACAAGATGGTCTGTGCCTCAATCATTTCTGTTTCCCCAGGGTCGAGAGCATTGTTTACTCCACATAAGACCCTTAGTTTATTTATTTATTGATTGATTTATATTTAATATTATATTTATTTATACTTAATATTATAGTCTTACTACTGTTTATGTTTAATTCAGGTGTTGAATTTAACTGCCCTGTTTTTCTGTCTTTCCTAGGGGGAGGCTTCTCATATATTCATTTCACACACTACTCCATCCTCTGATGCAGTCAGACACAGTCTGCTGAACACAATTTCCACCCAATGATTAGAAAATGCAGTCCCATCAAAAGCACATCTGCCCCAACATCCTCTGTTATAATTTGCTAGCACTGGGTGCCACCTCTTGCATTCTGAAAGCACCGACCCTTTCCTGCTCCCCAAGCTGCAGAGACACTGATGTTTTTTCCCTCGAAAGAGGAAATGTGTTTCACTTTTTTATACCCACATGTTGGAGTGGATTAAAAACAATATTATTTGATCCTCTGCTCAATGTCTGAGGCTCAGGATTACATGGTTTTAAGTTAATGCGGTGGTTCTCAATGCTGGCTGCACAATAAAACATCCGAGGAGCTTTTAAAAATATTGAAGCCTAGACTGCACCATGGACAAATTACATCAGAACTTTTGGGCATCTGTGTTATATTACACTGCCCCTTGGTGATTCAAATGTGCAGCCAGCTTGAGAGATACTAAGCGAAAAGAAACTTTTCTGTTCTCTTTGAGATTTCTGAAAACATTCTAAAAGAATCACCAAATAAGAAAATCTCAAAATAAGATAAAGAAGCTATCATATTATTTTGGTCCAAATTTGTGGATTTTATTTTTGGTACGTACACAATCTGTGTTTCTGCAGAAATGCAGAATCATATCCATCCTTGCTCCGCCAGAGGTCCAACGACACACATCTTTACTGTCTCATTTGAAAAAGACTGTTCACCTTTCTTCATCCCAGATCATCAACCATTGCTAAGCCATATACGCATCGACTCCCTTTTTTCTGACCTCAGAACTCCCACAGGCCTTGTGCACCTCTGCTATTCTTAGGCAACGAGAGCCCTCCTGCAGTAGGAAACACCTATTCCACTCAGTTCTGTTTAAACTCAATCTTTTTCATGTTTCAAGTTCCTCCTGATACAAACCTGACTCCAAATCCCCCAGCGCAGATGAACTTACACTGAGCATTAGAAGCAATCTCCTAAAATTAATTCCCAATGGGTCAGTGACTGATAGCCCGTTAAAGCGTGTGAGGGTAGCTGCATTCTCCAGTGTTGAATGCCTATCAACCTAAATGAACTGGTGTTTCATGACATTTCAGGGGCTAGAAGAGTTGAATTGAGAAATCCGTCCATTTGGGCAGAGCTTTTAGTAAAACTAAAAGTATTCAGCCCAGCCGGGTGGGTGGACCAGCCTTTTCTTCTAGTTTTATTGCCATCTACTCTTACCTCTCACAGTTTCCTTTATTCTAGTTTCACCAATTAAAAAAAAAAAACCTCTAAAATTTTATCTATGGCAGAAGAATCTGGTTATTTAGATTTTTTGTAATTAGCTCATTGTAAATTAAAGACTGGCTCTCTACACTAGACTCTGCAACACATCTCTGACTTCTGCTTTACCTCAGTATATATTAAAACTAAGCCAAGTGTGAATGTGACAATCTAAGCAATTAAAAGGCAATCAACATGATTAGAAGGTTCCTTGGGTTTTCCCTAGTAAGATAGAGTAGTGGGCCTTATATGTAGGGGCAAAGCCAGCTTCCTGCTCTGTCCTTTCTATCTGTGTGACTCAAGGCAAGTTTCCCTAACTCTTCTTTCAACCATTTGCTCTTTGACACATTTAGAAATACCGGTATATTTCCTGCCAGCTTCTTGTTAAGACTAAAAAACACGACATACAAAACTTTCTGTAGAAAGTTCTACAGAAGTTGGTTCCCTTCCTTCCAACTCCAGACCTAAGGATAAGGAGTATGCGTGGGAAAGAAGCAGACATCCTCATTCAAAACCCTCATCAAAATGGAACTGTAAGGTAGCATAACTACTGTTGCTATAAATGGGGCTTGAGGCAGGAATATGCCTCTTCTGCTTTGCTTAGCACATTTTTCTGGCTTATTTGGAGCAGGAAGGTATAAAGGATACTACTGAAAAATTAATAGCCTTCAACATAGAATCCTGAAATAGTTACTTGGAAAGGATCGGAAGAGCTGGAGCTGAGTGGAAAAGTGGGCTGAAGCACCCTCTTTGTTATTTGACTTCAGGGCCTCGGCTGGGAGCCCTTGCCTATTACACAGCCTGAACTCAGCAGTCTGCTTTGATTGATGACCCCTCATTTTCTTTTCCACTCCCTCACTCAAGCTCCAGACCTCCCCTGTCAGGTGAAAGTCCATCTGCATTGACGACCTTGACTGTATTGTCTCCCAATGAAAGTGCTATTGGCAAGAGAACCTGGGCTGTCGTGACCCTGTAATCCCATTTATGTCATGCAATGCTAAGCTCATGGGCTCCATGAAGAGAGACTCACATTTTGGCAGAATTATAAAAATCATCATCGCGTTCCTCAGAGGTCCTCATCCCAATTATGCATGCCTTCTAGGGCCATCATTTAGTTCACCTTCTAGAGCACGCTCGGCTAGGCATGATAATTACATCTGTGTTCTAAAAATGGAATAGGAGGGAGTCTTAAAGACCCATATTTCATATTAATACCCAATTACATCTGGGATGTGTTTTTCTGAGTTTAAAAAGAACTGGTGATGAAGGTTAATGATTTAATTAAGTCCACTGCCCACCCCCACAGCAGCCCCACTCTCACCACGGAGAACATGAAGGCGGCTAGCAGCAGACACCGGAAGGAAGGCAGACACAGAACAGCAGCTTGCATTCATCTGCTGATGACAGCTTTATTATTACATTTTGAATTAATGCCATTGGCTCAGTAAGTCGCAGGGGAAAAGTTCTGATTGATCAGACTCAAGGACACCTATGCTAATAAAGAACAGGACTACAAGTGGACCACAAGGAAATCAAAACTCTCCTTTTTGACGGGAACAAAGGTCTCAGTCTGTGCATTACCGCACTTTTAATCTAACCACAGAGGTTTCAAGGTCATTTTGTAGCCAATCCTGTATTCATGGACAGTAAAAGTGGCTTGGACGTTGGCTCTTTTTTCTACTGAATGCCCAGTAGCATACTTAGTACACATTTACTGAGAGAATAGTAGAAAGAAACATCAATGCAAATCCTAGCTCACCTGCAGTGTAATCATCAGTCAGTTCCTGCATTTATTTATTTCATTCATTCTTACAACTTTTGCTTATGTTCTTTTCATTATTAAGCATAGGCACTTGGGATGCATTAGAGAAAACAGTCATGGATTTCTATCTTCATGGAGCTTACATTCTAGGCAAGGGGAGAATAATAAGAAACATAATATGTAAATTACATACTTTGTAAGAAGATGGTAGAAGCTGGAAATAAAAGAAAAACCAAAGTAGGTGAGAGGATTGGGAATGGCAGCAGAGGAAAGAGTATGTAGGTTGCAATTTCAAAACATGAGGGTAGGTTCAATATTATTTAAGAGGTGCCCTTTGAGCAGAGACACAGGAGAAGGCATATTAACTAGCAAACATCTGGGGGAGAAGCAATCTAGGCAAAGGGAAAAGATCTTGCAAAGGTACCTAAGCCACAACCTAAGAAACAGAAGAGTGGGCATATGGTGGGAGCTAGGCAAGAGGACATAAAGCCTGAGAAGGGACAAAAACTAGATCATGTGAGGCCTGAGAGTCACTGTGAGGACACTGATGTTTACTTTGCATGAAAGGAGATTTGGTGCAGGTTTTGAGCAGAGGAGTGACTTAGGTTTTGAAAGACTCTCTCTGGTTGTCTTGAATAGACCAGAGGAGGTGTGGCCAAGAATGGAAGCCAACTGGGTATTTGAAGACTTCAAGACTCAGGTTTCTTATTTAGCCAGTACGTAGTAGGTTGTTATTGAGTACCTTTCCATTTCTCCGCTAATGTGGTGATCCTTTGGCATCTATCAACATTCGTTGCAATTATCACGTTTTTGGGGCAGCATTATGAGTTAATGTTGTCCTCAGGCTCTCTTTTCCTGAATGCCCCCAAATCTGTTTGGTCTGGTTGACAACACCTACCTACACCTGCATGCCACAACTTTCATACTCTGAGATTCTTTGTGGTGTCCCATAACACTCTAGATCCAGCTTTTCAACTGATACTCAAGGTTATAGATGAGCTTTGCCCCTTTTAGTCTCCCACCATCCCACCACCATATCAGACCACACTGGCAAGACAAGATGAGGTTTTTCTCTCCCAAGCAACCTAGTTTTGTGATTCCTTCATCCAAGTAACCTCATTCAGTGTCCTTTATTATGTTCATGATTGCAATCTCTCCCATCTATTTATATGTTATTAGCTAGTAATGATACGTTTTTCTTTTCTCAATTCAGTCCTTAATCCCAGAGTGGGCAAATGTTACTTTGAGAGCTTGCTAGACTGTGTGACTATGTAGAATAAAACCATAGTGTTCACTATTAATTATGAATTGTATTTGTATTATGAAATGGCCCTTCAAACACTAAACATGATATATATGCTTTTCTCTATAAATGGGGTAAAATAGTCCAAATGATCATGATTATAATGGAAAACTTATTCATCTTTGTTTGATCTCACACAATTCCCAAGGTTTGCTTTGTTTAGCATTGATTCAGTGAAGTGTTATATCTAGAAATTTAGAAACTAAGATATTATTTAGGAATTATGGGAGGTTGTCATACAACGACCTTTACAACTTTTAGGTAACTCTTAAGAAACCAAATTCAGAGGTACGATTTATAGCTCCAGAAGATATCCCAGAAGACAGAAACTCATGGATCCCTTAATAATAACAGCATAAAAATTCTGGGGTAAAATTTTTGTAAAGAATGTGCTTCATCATATCTTTCCTGAGTAACACTGACTCTGGTTTCTGAGTTATATACAACATACATGAGTAAAATTTCATAAATATACATCAGCATTTTGTCCCACCCAGACTTCAACTGTTGTTTATATTCTTTGAAGATTAGATTTCTTCTAGTGAAACAGTATGGGCTATGAGTTGCCTTAAGAATTATGAACATACATCCAATAATAAGAATTCAGTAATTATGACACAAGTTACAACAATTTTAAGAATTGTTTTATCATTAATGGGCTGTAATTTAAAACAAGCTTCTCTAATCTCAAATTAGCATCACTAGTGGTCAAAACCAGTGTTTGTTGATACAGAGCTTTAAAAGTTGTATGTATCTGATTCATGTGATTAGATGTCAACGTTCCTATCAGATGATAAAATCCATGAAAACTGAAATCATGCCTTTAATTGTTTTGTTTTGTTTGGATTTGCTTTCCATAGCAGAAATCAGTTACAAGGGAGAGATATGGTGAGGACTTCATCCTCTCTTATTTTCCTTCTCAACTCATGGTGGGGCTGAGAGAGAAGCAATGGGCGTTCTTAGCTTCTGTGTGTGAACAGTTTTCCTTCCCAAAGCTGTGCTCTCCAGACCACTGCCATTTGGCAAACCAAAAAGCATGATTCAAGCTTCACCCTTACCTTTTACATTAATCTGCATTTCCTTTGAGCCTCTTTTTTCCCCATCTATGTGAATTCCAGGGGACAAGTTCATTCAAGTTCATGTCAATGTTATCAGTAAACATTAAAAAATTAATAATATGTATTATTATTTATAATAAGCTACTAATACAACTATATCCCAACCAAAATAGTTTCCTTATGCCATCAAATAAATCCATATGGTAATTTGTTTCAGTGTTAAACTTCAGTCCACTTGTCTTCTCATCCAATTGATGTTCCTTCAGCACAGGCCAAGAGTAGAGGAAAAAAAATGTAATCCATCCCCAACCTAGGAATTCAGACAGGTAAAATCTATTTCTCAGGTCAGATTTCAGACATCATTTCCACATGAACAATAACATTAAAAAAGAAAAATAAAAAGCTGTGGTCTTCTGGCTCACAGGAATATTTGGGGGAAAAGCATGGATGTTGGATGAATGTAAGAAAAATTTTAGGTGGAGTTTGCATAATTGTTAAAACAGAGCTGTATAAGATTCTGACTTATTAAATAGAAATATGTATTTTGGCCCATCTAGGAGAAATGCTTCCAAAATGAAATGCTTGATATAATAAAAGAAGAGCAATGCTATCCATATGACTATGATGTGAACTTAATCAAGAGGATAAAAGTCTCCAAATTGTAATTACAGATGAATTACTCCACGGCTTGCGATTTTCAAGAGGAATCTTGTTTCTAAATCTTGACACAGTGGGACCAAAGAAACCTATCTGTTTCTATTACTGGGAAAAAAGTGAATCTCAAAATGAAAAACAATCTGCGGCTTCAAAGAGAGAGAGCTGACAGCAAAATATTTGAATTAATTAGAGAACTACAGGTTGTTCATTGACGGGTTCTTTTTGCAGGCATATTCTGAAACATCTGTGCTTGTTTCCACGGAGATGTGGTTGGTTTATTTTGTTGTTAATATACCATATGAGCATGAAGGAAATTAGAGGAAGCTACCTGATGGAAAACTAAATTTAGACATTTCCAGACAGTCTGAGAGAAGTTACAACCTCCTGGGCCAGGCAGAGGATAGTTCAATTCCTTGATGAACTATGCCAAGTTAAATGAACATCAGCTATTTTTAGAACACTGACAGCCTTCTTAGACATGACACCAAAGAATATTAGTTTTGAGGTCCACTGGACGGCATGCTCAGGTCTGAAGAGTTCCAAAAAATAAAAATAAATTCACCCATTTCTAAATTTTAAAAAATAATAATGATTTTCCTAAAGGGGCCAGCTCTGACTCTAAACACCTTCTTTGAAAGGCTCAAGTGTCCAAGGGTTGGTTTTCTTGTATAGGATTTCTACTGTTTCTCTCAAGGCCATGTTCTCTGTTATTGTTCTCATATTTTCCCCTACAGCAGAGAGGTCCTTATGTACCATGGGTTAATATTTTTTTCCTAAATTTATTTTAGGGTGGAAAAGAGAAATAAAGAACTCTAACTGCTTCTAATTTGCTTTTGTTTCATCTTCTTTCTTCCTGTTGCAATCTCTCTTTTCACTAACTCTACCTCGTTAAGCTTTGTCCATTTGGTAGTTCTATTTTTAATTTTCCAAAAATCATCCATACTGTTTTCTGAAAGTTCTGTACCAATTTACATTTCCACCAACAGAGTACAAGGGTTCCCTTTTCTCCACACCATTGCCAACACTTACCTTTTGGCTTTTTGATAGTAGCCATTCTAACAGGCATGAGGTGATATGTCATTGTGATTTTGATTTACATTTCCCTAATGATTGATGATATTCATCATCTTTTCATGTATCTGTTGGCTATTTTTGGTCTTCTTTGTGAAAATGTCTATTCATGTCCTTTGCCCATTTTTAACTTGAGTTATTTGGGGTGTTTTTTGTTTATTTTTGTTACTTGTTTTTGCAATTAAGTTTTATGAGTTGCTTATATATTTGGGATATTAACACCTTACTGGATATATGGTTTACAAATATTTTCTTTTTTCTGTAGGTTGCCTTTTTGTTTCTTCATTGTTTCATTTGCTGTACAGAAGTTTTTAGTTTGATGTAGTCCTGTTTATTTTTGCTTTTATTTTCTGTACTTTTGAGATCAAATCTAAAAAATCATTGCCAAGACCAATGTCAAAGAGCTTTTCCTTCATGTTTTCTTCTGGGAGTGTCATGGTTTCAGGTCTTACATGTAAGTCTTTAAACCATTTTGAATTCATTTCTGTGTATGATATAAGAGAAAGATCTGATTTTAAGGTTTGCTTGTCAATATCAAGTTTTTCCAACACCATTTATTAAAGAGTCTATACTTTCCTCCATTGTATATTATTGGAACCTTTGTCAAAAATTAGTTGAGCATATATGAACGGGTTTGTTCTGGGCTATTAGGTTCCACTAGTCTATGTCAAGGCAGCCAAGATCTTTTTCCTTCACAACATTCAGAGTTGAAGGGAATGAAACATTAAGTCCTGTCATTTGGCATGTTCATTTAAATTTCAACGTATTTCAGAATTTCATAGTCTCATCGTTGGGCTATCAAGCCTACATCCCCATAACATCATTTATTTATATCATTAGCCCATATAAATCTGCTGTTCCAAGCAGAACACATTGTTAGTTCTAGAATTTTCCATGAGATGGGCAGGTACCTACAGATGCTAGACACTTTTGGGTTGTTTTACATCTAATTAGCAACAGAATTATGACACCAAATTAATTTCAGGAACTGCTCTTGAAATGCCAATATACATAAGGTTTTAAGAATTTGATACTGTGCAAGTTAGAGAAACAGATGGAACTTTCTGAACAATAGAATTCGTCTCCAAGTGACATTTAATATAAAGCAATACCTGAATTATAAATGGCTTTAAAGTTATTATCTTTGAATTGTTTTCCTTTCAAACACCTACCACGCAGGTGAAAGAAAAAAAAGTGTGTGTGTGTATGTGTAGTGTTAGTCTACATATATATATATATATAGAGAGAGAGAGAGAGAGAGAGAGTGTATATGCGTGTATGTGTATATATATATACACGGAGAGAGAGAGAGAGAGATTAAATTCTGAAATGCTATGTACTAATAAAAATTTGGAGAAGATTTTCTTGAAGGGTCATAATGGCACAATTCCATAAATAGAGCAGAAGACTGAATATACGGGAAGGAAATTTCGTTGTGTCCTAGTTTGTCCTCTCGCTGGATATAAAATATTTATTTTTAATGAATAATGATATTATTTTCCAAATACATATTAGCTAAGCCAAAAAATAAAACAACACAGAAAAGTGACATATTTAGCACTTACAATAAGCTAGGGACAATGATAGCACTTTATATTAATGGACATGTTCGGTTTTTGAATAATTCTATGAGATGTATATTATCTTTATTCTCACTTTCTAATGAGGAAACTGAAACAGCATGTGTAGCAACTTGCGTAAGAAGCTATAAATGGTAGGTAGTGTGTTCATTATTTTAAACTCATCTCCAGGGTCTACACCATAAACCACAAAATTCCACAACCTCTTGTGTAAAGGAAGAAAGAGTAGTCAGAAATTTAAATCAAGCTATCCTTGTTATTTTTACTTTACAGAGCATACATTTAATTGTATTTAACAGAAGAATAATGAATTGCAGAAAAAGTGAAGGAATTATTAAAATTAAGATATCTCTTTCTTCAACAAAGGGATAGTAATTGTTCCTGAAATTGTCCCCAAAATTAAAGTAGTGGGAGTTCATAACAGCATTAAGAAGCTGGACATGTGTTTATTATTTTAGTATACATCAATTGGCTTCTTGTTTTGAAGGCAGAGGAAACAAAAAGCTTTACTACTTCTGCTCTTTATCTTGATTATTGTTATTATTTTTGGGCTTTATAACATGTAAATTCTGTTCTGTAATCATAATATCCCAAGTGATTTAATCATAATGTTATATTTTAAAGTGATGAATGCTCATTCCCACTTTGTTTACTTCATCTTTTCTGTTCTTAATTGCTTACTTTGATGCAAGTCTTTCAACTGGAATTTGACAAACAGCAGTGATTTTTTTGTTTTTTTTTGTGAGGGGGATGATCGTTTCTCAAGGGCTCTCATGTTTATTTCTTGAATTCATGCATGCTTGTGAATCTGTTCTTTGTGTTTATACTTGAATAAAACCTTGGCTAGGTATAAAGTTCTTAGCTGTAAAATCAACCCCCCATATCTGCAGCTTCCACATATGCAGACTTACCCGTGGATCACAAATATTCAAAATAACAACAATACAACAATAAAACACAAAAATACAATATAACAACTATTTGCATAGCATTTACATTGTACTAGGTATTATAAGTAATCTAGATGACTTAAAATATATGGGAGGATGTGCATACGCTTTATGCAAATACAATGCCATTTTATATGGGACTTGAGTATCCTCATATTTTGGTGTCCACGGAGGTCCTGGAATCAATCCCCTGTGGAAACCAAGGAATGACTATTCTTTCCTCTTAGCCTTCTGCCCACAAAACTGTCAAATTTTGTTTTTTAAACATTAACTCATGTTCTTCCAGCACTGAATGTGGAGAGCGCTGAAATCAATGTTTCCTTTTTTTTTTTTTTTTTAATAGGTGATTTACTTTTCAGGCCACATGCTTAGACAATTTTTTTCTTCATTCTTGAATTTCAGAATATGTTTCATTGTTGACCATTCTGTTTCAACACTGTTTCTCCCAGACATTGTGCATTTTCAATTTGTATTTTAACAAATTTATTTTAGGAAAGTTTTCTCCCATTATATCTTTTATCTTATTTTTTCAGTTCTATTGTTCTGTCTGTATGTTGGATCACTGTGTCATATATTCATATATTCTCCAAAATAATTTCAATGTCTTTGTTCTTTATTCATTTTGTGTTTGCATTGAGAGGCCGAGAGGAAACATTTTAGTTACACTTATTCTATTTTTTGTTGCTTCTAGTGTGCAGTGTGCTTTTTTCATCTCTGTAATATTTTTTGCTTTATTCTTCCTTGGCTTTTCTGTGCACCACTAGCTTGCTTTTTGTTTTCCGGTGTTGTGATATAATCTCTTTTTTGAATCCTTGAGGCTCTTCTTTGAGCTTTCCTTAAAAAGAAAGAAAAAAGAACAACAACAATAAATCATATCACCTGTAGTTACTTTGGAACTATTAAATACCATTTTTCATCTGACTTTTGCTTATGTTTCTTTTCTTTGAATTTTTTCCCCAGTATCTATGCATAGGTCCTATGCTGATTCCTTCTACGTTATGAACAGGAGAATTAAGCTGGAAGAGCCTGCAGCTTTTACTGGGCTCCATCCCTTTATTTTGAGCCTATGTGTGTCTTTGCACATGAGATGGGTCTCCTAAATCGAGCACACTGATGGGTCTTGACTCTTTAACCAATTTGCCAGTCTGTGTCTTTTGAGGGCATTTAGCCCATTTACATTTAGGGTTAGTATTGTTACGTGTGAATTTGATGCTGTCATCATGTCGCTAGATGGTTATTTTGCACACTAGTTGATGCAGTTTCTTCATAGTGTCATCGGTCTTTGTATTTTGCTGTATTTTTGCAGTGGCTGGTACCAGTTTTTCCTTTCCATATTTAGTGCTTTCTTCAGGAACTCTTGCAAGTCAGCCCTGGTGGTGATGAAAACCCTTAGCATTTGCTTGTCTGGAAAGGATTTTATTTATCCTTCACTTATGAAGCTTAGTTTGACTGGATTGAAATTCTTGGTAGAAAATTCTTTTCTTTAAGAATGTGAATATTGGCCCCCACTCTCTTCTGGCTCATAGGGTTTCTGCTGAGGGATCAGAAGTTGGTCTGATGGGCTTCCCTTTGTAGGTGGCCTGACCTTTCTCTCTGGCTGCTCTTAACACTTTTTCCTTCATTTTGACCTTGGAGAATCTGATGATTATGTGTCTTTGGGTTGATCTTCTCATGGAGTATCTTACTGGTGTTCTCTGTATTTCCTGAATTTCAATGCTGGTCTATCTTGCTAGGTTGGGGAATTTCTCCTGGATAATATCCTGAAGTGTGTTTTCCAACTTGGTTCCATTCTTCCCATCACTTAACCAATCGTGGATTTGGTCTTTTCACATAGTCCCATATTTCTTGGAGGCTTTGTTCATTCCTTATCATTCTAATTTTTCTCTAATCTTGTCTGTATGCCTTATTTCAGCAAGGTGGTCTTCAATCTCTGATATCTTTTCTTCCATTTGATTGATTCGGCTATTCACGGTGTTCTTGTGCTCTGTTTTTCAGTTCCATCAGGTCATTTATGTTCCTCTCTAAACTAATTTTTCTAGTTATCAGTTCCTGTAACCTTTTATCAAGGTTCTTAGCTTCCTTGCTTTGGGTTAGAACATGATCCTTTAGCTCAGAGGAGTTTTTTATTACCTATCTTCTGAATCCTACTTCTGTCAATTCTTCAATCTCATTCTCTGTCCAATTTTGCACCCTTGCTGGAGAGGTGTTGCAATCATTTGAAAGAGGAGAGGCATTCTGGCTTTTGGAATTTTCATTGTTTTTGCACTGGTTTTTCCTCATCTTCATGGATTTCTCTACCTTTGACCTTTGAGGGTGGTGACCTTTGGATGGGGATTTGTGGTGGGGGTGTGGGGGTTGTTGATGTTTTGTTGTTGTTGCTTTCTGTTTGTTAGTTTGTCTTCTAACAGTCAAGCCCCCTTTTCTGCAGGTCTGCTGCAGTTTGCTGGAGGTCCACTCCAGACCCTCTTTGCCTGGGTATCAACAGTGGAGGCTACAGTACAGCAGAGATTGCTGCCTGCTTCTTCCTCTGAAAGCTTCATTCCAGAGGGGCACCAGCCTGATGCCAGCTGGAGCTCTCCTGTATGAGATGTCTGTCGAACCCTGTTGGGAGGTCTCTATCAGTCAAGAGGCATGGGGGTCAGGGACCCACTTGAGGAGGGAGTCTGTCCCTTATTAGAGCTGGTGCACTGTGCTGGGAGAATCCCCTGTCAGGATCAGCCCCTGTCTTCAGAGCCAGCAGGCAGGAAAAATTAAGTCTGCTGAAGCTGCGCCCACAGCTGCCCCTCCCCACAGGCCCTCTGTCCTAGGGAGATGAGAGTTTTATCTGTAAGCCCCTGACTAGAGCAGCTGCCTTTTCTGCAGAGATTCCCTGGCCAGTGAGGAGAAATCTAAAGAAGCAGTCTGTCCACAGATGCTTTGCCATGTTGTGGTGAATTTTGCCCAGTCCAAACCTCCCAGTTTCCTTAGCAATGTCTTGGGGAAATCGCCCACTAAAGCCACAGTAATGGTGGTCACCCCTCCCCCAATCAAGCTTGATACTCTTAGGTCAACCCCAGACTGCTGTGCTGGCAGTAAGAATTTCAAGTCAGTAGTTCTTAGCTTGCTGGGCTCCATGGGAGTGGGACCTACTGAGCGAGACCGCTTTGCTCTCTGACTTTAGCCCCCTTTTCAGGGGAGTGGATGGTTGTCCTGTCTCACTGGAGTTCCAGGCGCCACTGGAGTGTGAAAAAACTCCTGCAGCTCGGTGCCTGCCCCAACAACCGCCCAGTCTTTTGCTTGAAACCCAGGGCCCTGGTGGTGTTGGCTCATGAGGGAATCTCTTGATCCCTGGATTGCAAAAATCCGTGGGAAAAGGGTAGTACCCGGGTGGGTAGCATAGTCCCTCACTGCTTCCCTTGGGTGGGAGAGGGAGGTCCCCCAGCTCCGTGCACTTCCCAGTGAAGCAATGCCCCACCCTGTTTCTGCTTGCTCTTCATGGGTTGCACCCACTGCCTAACCAGTCTCAGTGAGATGAGCTGGGTGCCTCAGTTGGAAATCACCCACCTTCTGCATTGGTCTCACTGGGAGCTGCAGACCAGAACTCTTTCTGTTTGGCCGTCTTGGTCCCTCCCCCTTTTAGTTAATTTTAAATGTATAGTTAAATTATTGACGATAGTCACCCTGTTGTGTTACCAAATGGTAGGTCTTATTCTTTTTTTTTAATGCTTATCAACCATCTTCTTCTCCCCTTCCACGCCCCCCAAACTTCCCCTTCACTATCCTTACCAGCCTCTGATAACCATTTTTCTACTCTCTGTGTCCATGAGTTCAATTGTTTTGATTTTTAGATCCCACAAATAAGTAAGAACATACAATGTTTGCCTTTTTATGCCTGGCTTATTTCACTTAACATAATGATCTTTAGTTCCATCCATATTATTGCAAATGACACGATCTCATTATTTTTTATGGCTGAAGAGTACACCATGTGTATAAGTACCACATTTTCTTCATCCATTCATCTGTTGATGGATGCTTAGTTTGCTTCCAAATCCTGGCTATTGCCAACAGTGCTGCAACAACCATAGGAGTGCAGATATCTCTTTGATACACTGACTTCACTCTTTTGGGTATACACCCAGCAGGGGGATTGCTAGAACATATGGTAGCTTAATTTTTAGTTTTTTTGGGAACCTCCAAACTGTTCTCCATAGTGGTTGTACTAATTTACATTCACACCAACTGTGTAGCAGAGTTCCCTTTTCTCTGCATTTTCATCAGCATTCACTATGGCCTGTTGTATTAGTCTGTTTTCACACTGCTGATAAAGACATATTCAATTTACATAGGCAGTGTACAAAATAAAGAGGTTTAATGGTTAATTAAACTTACCCGTGGCTGGGGAGGCCTCACAATCATGGTGGAAGGTGAAACGGATGTCTCACATGGCAGCAAAGAGAAGAGAGCTTGTGCAGGGAAACTCCCATTTTTAAAACCATTAGATCTCGTGAGACTTATTTACTATCACAAGAACAGCATGGGAAAGACCTGCCCCCATGATTCAATTACCTTCCAACAGATAAGATTTGGGTGGGGACACAGCCAAACCATACCAGCTGTCTTTTGGATATAAACTGTTTTAACTGGTTTGAGATGATATCCCATTGTAATTTTCATTTGC
This sequence comes from Homo sapiens, assembly GCF_000001405.40. Classification (NCBI taxonomy): domain Eukaryota; kingdom Metazoa; phylum Chordata; class Mammalia; order Primates; family Hominidae; genus Homo; species Homo sapiens. The sequence continues at coordinate 228,810,824 of NC_000002.12, forward strand.
ATGTCTTTCATGATCAATGATGTTGAGCACCTTTTCAAGTGCCTGTTTTCCATTTGTATATCCTCTTTTGAGAAATGTCTTTTCAAATCTTTACCCATTTTTAAAAATCAGATTATTAGATTTTTTGTCCTATAGAGTTGTTTGAGCTCCTTATATATTCTGGTTATTAATCTTTTGTCAGATGGTTAGTATGCAAATATTTTCTCCCATTCTGTGTATTGTTTCTTCATTTTGTTAATTGTTTCTTTTGCTGTGTAGAAGCTTTGTAACCTGATGTAATCCCATCTGTCCATTTTTACTTTGGCTGCTTGTGGGGTATTGCTCAAGAAATTTTTGCCCAAATCAAAGCCCTAGAGATTTTCTCCAATGTTTTTCTATAGTAGTTTCATAGCTGAAGAACTTAAAGTCTTTAATCCATTTTGATTTGATTTTTTAATATGGCAAGAGATAGGGGTCTAGTTTCATTCTTCTGCATATGGATACCCAATTTTCCCAGCACCATTTATTGAAGAGACTATCTTTTCTCCAGGGTATATTCTTGGCACGTTTGTTGAAACATGAGTTCATTGTAGGTGTGTGAATTTGTTTTGAGGTTCCCTAATCTGTTGCATTAGTCTATGTCTCTTTTAAAACCAGTGTCATGTTGTTTTGGCTACTATAGCTCTGTAGTATAATTTGAAGACAGGTAATGTGACTCCTTCAGCTTAGTTTTCCTTAGGATAGCTGTAGTTACTCTGGGTCTTTTGTGGTTCTATATAAATTTTAGGGTTTTTTTTCTATTTATGTGTAGAAGGTAATTGGTATTTTGATAGGGATTGAATTGAATCTGAAGATTGCTTTGGGTAGTAAAACATCTTAACAATATTGATTCTTCCAATTCATGAACATGGACAATCTTTCCATTTTTTTGTGTCCCCTTCAATCTCTCATTAGTGTTTTATAGTTTTCATTATAGAGATCTTTATCTTCTTCAGTTAAGTTAGTTGTTAGGTATTTAATTTTGTTGGTGGTTATTGTAAATGATACTACTTTTTAAAAATTTTGTTAAAAAGTGTTCACTTTTGGCAAATAGAAATGCCACTAATTTTTTTGTATGTTGATTTTGTATGCTACAACTTCACTGAATTTGTTTATCAGTTATAATAGTTTATTTGTGAAATCTTTAGGTTTTTCCTAGTATAAAATTATATAACCTGCAGACAAGGATAATTTGACTTCTTTCTTTCCAATTTGGATGTACTTTATTTCTTTCTCTTTTCTGATTGCTCTAGTTAGGGCTTTGAGTATTGTGTTGAATAACAGTGGTGAAAGTGGGGATCCTTGTCATGTTCCAGATCTTTGAGAAAAGACTTTCAGTTCTTCCCTATTCAGTATGATACTAGCTTTGGATATATCTTATACAGCTTTTATTATGTTAAGGTACATTCCATCTATTCACAGTTTTTTGAGAATTATTATTATGAAGGGATGTTGAATTTTATCACATACTTTTTCAACATCAATTGAAATGATCATATAGTTTGTATCTTTCATTCTGTTGATGTGAGGTATCACAGTGAATGATTTGCACTTGTTGAATCATTCTTGTATCCTGGATATACATTCCATTTGGTCATGATGCATGATTTTTTTAGTGTATCACTGAATTCATTTTGCAAGTATTTTGTTAAGAATTTTTGCATCAGTATTTATCAGAGATACTGGCCTGTAGTTGTCTTTATTTTTGATACGTTTTTGGTTTTGGTATCAGGGTAATGCTGGCCTTGTAGAATGAGTTTGGAAATAATCCCTCTGCTTCTGTTTTTTCAGAACAGTTTGAGTATGATTGGTATTAGTTTTTCTTTAAATGTTTGGTAGAATTCAGCAGTGAAGCCATCAGGTCCCAGGCTTTTCTTTACTGGGAGAATTTTTATTATTGGCTTAAATCTCATTATTTATTATTAGTCTGTTCAGGTTTTGGATTTCTTCCTAGTTCAATCTTGGTAGGTTGTATGTTTCCAAGAAGTTTTCCATTTCTTCTAGATTTTCCAATTTATTGGCATATGGTTGCTCATAGCAGCCACTAACAATCCTTTGAATTTCTGCAGTATCAGTTGTAGTGTCTACTTTTTCATCTCTGATTTTATTTATTTGGATCTTCTCTCTTTTTTTCTTAGTCAGTCTGGCTAAAGGTTTTCCAATTTTGTTTAACTTTCGAAAAACCAACTTTTTGTTTCATTGATCTTTTGGATTGTTTTCTTCATTTCAATTTTATTTATTTCTTCTCCAATCTTTATTATTTCTTTTCTTCTACTAAGTTTGGATTTAGTTTGCTCTTGCTCTTCTCTTTCTTTAAGATGCATTGTTAGGTTGTTTATTTGAAGTTGTTCTTCTTTTTTGATGTAGGCACTTATAGCTGTAAACTTCCTTCTTTGTACTGCTTTTGCTGTATCTCATATATTTTGGTATGTGTGTTTCCATTATCATTTGTTTCAAGAAATTTTTCAATGTTCTTAATTTATTCATTGACCCACTGGTCATTCAGGAGCATATTGCTTAATCTTCATATGTTTCTGTAGTTTCCAAAATCACTTTTGTTGCTGGTTTCTAGTTTTAGTCCATTGTGGTCAGATAAAATGCTTGATAATATTTTAATTTTTTAAATGTCTTAAGACCTGTTTTTTGACCTAATATATGGTCTATCCTTCAGAATGACTCATGCTGAGGAGAATAATGTGTATTCTGCAACCATTGGATGAAATGTTTTGTAAATATCTATTTTGTCCATTTTGTCTATAGTGCAGATTAAGTCCAATTATTTTTGTTAATTTTATGCCTGGAAGATCTGCTCGGTGGGGTGTTGAAGTCTCCAGCTATTATTGTATTGGAGTCTATCTCTCTCTTTAGCTCTAAGAATATTTTCTTTATATATCTGTGTGCCCCAGTGTTGGGTACATATATATTTAAAATTGTTATGTCCTCTTGCTGACTTGACCTCTTTATCACTATATAGTGACCTTTATTGTCTCTTCTTATGGTTTTTGTCTTGAAATCTATTGTATCTCATAGAAGTATAGCTACTGCTGCCCTTTTTTCATTTTAATTGGCATGAAATATCTTTTCCATCTGTTTATTTTCAGTCTATATGTGTCTTTATGGGTGAGGTGTGTTTCTTGTAGGCAATAAATCAATGTTTCTTTTTTTAAAATCAATTCAGAATTCTATGTCTTTTTTAAAAATAAGTAATCCTGTATTTTTTAAAACTTTTTATTTCCATAGGTTTTTGGGGAGCAGCTCATATTTGGTTACAAGAATAAGTTCTTTAGTGATTTGTGAGACTTCGGTGCACCCATCATGCAGTATACACTGAATGTTTGGTTTTCCATTCCTGAGTTACTTTACTTAGAATAATAGTCTCTAATTACAACAAGGTTGCTGTGAATGCCATTAATTCATTATTTTTAATGGCTAAGTTGTATTCCCTAATATATACCACAGTTTTATTTTATCCATTCATTGATTGATGGGCATTTGGGCTGGCTTAACATACACAAGTCAATAAATGTGGTACACCACATAAACAGAATTAAAAACAATCTGCATCTGCAGAAAAGCATTTGACAATATTAAGCATCCCTTTACTATTGAAACCCTCAGCAAAACTGGCATACAAGGGACATACCTCAATGTAATAAAAACCGTCTATGACATCTGTGTCATCTATGACAAACCCACGCATAATACTGAATGGGGAAAAGTTGAAATAATTCCCTCTGAGAACTGAAACAAGACAAAGGTGCCCACTCTCACCACTTTTATTCAACATAGTACTGGAAGTCCTAACCAGAGCAATCAGACAAGAGAAAGAAATAAAGGGCATTCAAATCAGTAAATAAAAGTCAAACTTTTGCTGTTTGCTGATGATATGATTGTACACCTAGAAAACCCTAAAGACTCCCCCCCAAAACTCCTAGAACTGATAAAAGAATTCAGCAAAGTTTCAGGAAACAAAACTGATGTACACAAATCAGTAGCTCTGCTATACACCAGCAGTGACCAAGCTGAGAATCAAATCAAGAACTCAACCAATTTTTCAATAGCTGCAACAAAATTAAAATACTTAGGAATAAACCTAACCAACGAGATGAAAGACCTCTACAAGGAAAACTACAAAACACTGCTGAAAGAAATCATAGATGACGCAAACAAATGGAAACACATCCCATGTTCATGGATGGGTAGAATCAATATTGTGAAAATGACCATACTGCCAAAAGCTATCTACAAATTCAATGTAATTCCCATTAAAATATCACCATCATTCTTCTCAGAACTATTAAAAGTAATTCTAAAATTCATATGGAACCAAAAAAGAGCCCAAACAGCCAAAGCAAGACTAAGCAAAAAGAACAAATCTGGGGGCATCACATTACCAGATTTCAAACTATACTATAAGGCCATAGTCACCAAAACAGCATAGACCTGGTATAAAAATAGGCACACAGACCAACGGAATCCAGAAATAAATCCAAATGCCTACAGCTAACTGATTTTCGATGAAGAAACAAAAACATAAAGTAGGGAAAGGACACTCTGTTCACTAATCACAGAAATAAAATCACTAATCGTCAGGGAAATGCAAATTAAAACCACAATGTGATACCACCTTACTTCTGCAAGAATGGCCCTAATCAAAAAATAAAATAAAATAAAATAGATGTTGGCATAGATATGTTGAAAAGGGAACACTGCTATACTGCTGGTGGGAATGTAAAATAATACAACTACTATGGAAAATAGTGTGGAGATTCCTTAAAGAAGTAAAGATAGAACTACCATTTGATCCAGTAATCCCACTACTGAGTCCCACCCAGAGGAAAAGAAGTCATTATATGAAAAAACATACTTGCACATGCATGTTTATAGCACAATTTGCAATTCCACTCTATTTATTTTGATTGAAAGAGTTTAGTCTGTTGACATTCAATGTTATTATTGATAAGTTAGGACTTACTCCTGTCATTTTGTTATCTCTTTTCTGGTTGTTTTGTTGTCTTCTCTTCCTTCTTTCTTTCTTTCTGCCTTCCTTTTAGTCAATGTGATTTTCTCACATGATATGATTTAGTTTCTTGATTTTTTTATATTAATTGTATTTTTTTGGTTTGAGGTTAGCATGAGTATTGCAAATGCTATCTTATAACCTATTATTTTAACCTGAAAACAACTTAAAGCTGTTTGTATAAACAAACAAGCAAAAGGAAAACTAATAAAAACTCTACACCTTAACTTTTCCCCCACTTTTTAACTTTTTGTTGTTTTTATTTATATCTTATTGTACTGCCTATTTCTTGAAAAGTTGTTGTAGTTACTATTTTTGTTTGGTTCATTGTTTAATTTTTACACTTAGGATAACAGTAGTCTACACATCACTGTTACAATGTTATATAATTCTGTTTGTCTTTGTACCTACTATTACCAGTGAGTTTTGTAGTTTCAAGTGATTACTTATTGCTCATTAACATCCTATCCTTTCTGATTTAAGTACTCCCTTTGACATTTCTTTCAGGACATGTCTGATGTTGATAAAATTCCTCAACTTTTATTTGTCTGGGAAAATCTTTATTTCTACTTCGTGTTTGAAGAATATGTCCATTGAATATACTATGCTAGGGTAACGGTTTTATTTTCTCCCTTCAGAACTTTAAATATGTCATGCTACTCTCTCCTGGCCTGGAAAGCTTCCACTCAAAAACCTGCTGCCAGATGTACTGGAGCTCCATTATAACTTATTTGCTTCTTTTCTCTTGATGTGCTCAGGATTCTTTCTTTATCCTTGATCTTTGGGAGTTTGATTATTAAATGCCTTGAGGTAGTCTTTGGGTTAAATCTCCATGTGTTCTATAACCTTCTTGTACTTGATTATTTATATCTTTCTCTAGGTTTGAAAAGTTCTGTTATTATCCCTTTGAATAAACTTTCTACCTCTGTCTTTTTCTCTACCTCCTCTTTAAAGCCGATAACTTTTAGATTTGCCCTTTTGAGGCTATTTTCTACATTCTGGAGGCATGCTTCATTCTTTTTTAGTCTCTTCTCATTGTGGATTTTCAAACCACCTGTCTTCAAGCTCAGTAATTCTTTCTTCGGCTTGATCAATTTTGCCATTAAAAGACTTTGATACTTTCTTCAGTATGCCAGTTTCTTTTTCAGCTCCAGAATTATTGCTTGATTCTTTTCAATTATTTCAAAGTCTTTGTTAAATTTATTTAGAAGAATTCTGAATTTCTTCTCTGCATTATCTTGAATTTCTTTGAGTTTCCTAAAAATAGCTATTTTGAGTTCTCTCTATGAAAGCTCACATACCTCTTTTTCTCCAGGATTGGGCCTTGGTGGCTTACTTAGTTCATTCAGTGAAGTCATGTTTTTCTGGATTGTCTTGATACTTGTAGATGTTCATCTGTGTTTGGACATTGAAGAGTTAGGTATTTATTGTTGTCATCACAGTCTGGGCATTTTTGTACTAATTCTTCTTGGGAAGGCTTTCCAGATATTCGAAAGGACTTGGGTGTTGTTATCCAAGCTGTATCTGCTTTAGGGGGCACCCCAAGCCCAGTTACATCGTGGTTCTTTTAGACTCATAGAGGTACTGCCTTGATGGTCTTAGATAAGATCTGGGAGAATTCTCTGTATTACCAGAGACTCTTGTTCTCTTCCCTTACTTTCTCCAAAACAAAAAGAGTCTCTCTATGCATTTTGGACCACCTGAAGCTGGGGGTGGAGTGACACCAGCACCCCTGTGGCTACCACCACTGTGACTGTACTAGGTCAGTCTTGAAGCTAGCACAACACTGGGTCTCACCCAAGGCCTGCTGTAACCACTCCCTGGCTACTTCCTCTGTTTACTCAAGGCCCTGGAGCTCTACAATCAGCAGGTGGTTAAGCCAACCAGGCCTATGCTTTCCCTCCCGGGTGGCTATATCCCCCAGGTCCCAGGCAGGTCCAGAGGTGCTGGGAGCCAGGGACTTAGCTAAAAAATCTTAGAAGTCTACCTGGTGCTCTATTGTACTGTAGCTGAGCAGGCACTCAATCCACAAAACACAGTCTTTCCCACTCTTCCCTCTCCTTTCTAAAGGCAGAGGAGCCTCACCCCATGGCCTCCACTACCACAGGCCCACAAGGAGTACTACCAGACTACCATTTATTTTGCCTTGAGACCCAAGGGCTCTTCAGTCAGCTTGTGATTAATGCTGCTTGGCCTGGGACTAGGCCTTCAGGGCAATGGGCTTCCCTCTGGCCCAGGGCAGGTCCAGAAATGCTGTCCAAAACCAAGTCCTGGAATCAGGGTACCCAAGTCCCTACTTGGTACGCTACCCTGGTATGGTTGGGCTGGTACCTAAGATGCAAGTCAAAGTGCCCTTTACTTTTCCCTCTGCTTTTCTCAAGCAAAAGAAGTCTCACCCTGAAGCCACAACAGTTGAAAATGTGCTAAGTCTCACTTGAAGCTAGCACAACTCAAGGTTTTACCAAAGGCCCTCAACGTAGTACTTGGGTATCACTGCTGGTTATTCGGGCCCAACGACTCTTCAGTTAGTAGGTGATGAATGCTGCCAGAATTGGGTTCTTCCCTTCAAGGCAGTGGTTTCCCTTCTGGTCCAAGGGGTGTGTAGAAATGTCATCTGGGAGCTAGGGCTTCGAAAGGGGGCCTCACGACTCTGACCAGTGCTCTATTCTGCTGTTGGCTGAGCTGGTATCCAAGATGCAAGGCAAAGTCCTCCCCACTCTTCCCTCTCCTCTCCTCAGGCAGAAGGAAATGGTATCTTTTGGAGCTGTGAGCTGTGCAGCCTGTGGTTAGGAGAGGGGTGACGCCAGCATTCCTTTTGCCACCTCTGCTGGTGTCTCAGTAGGTTGTGTGCCATCCCTACAGTCTACTAGCTGTGGGCCCAGTTCAGTACTAGGACTTGCCTAAAAATTTCAGTCTTTATGGACCTAGTCCATCTGTCAATTTTATTTAGAGCGCCAAAGCACTTTAGCCTGAGGTGGCAAGGCTTGTGGGAACTAAGTTCCGACAGCTGGGATCAGTGATTCCCCTCTGATTTGAGTTAATTTAAATACTCCCTCCATGGGCAGGTGTCAGCTGAGTTTGGTCTGGTTTTCCTTTCTGCTCTAACAGGACAGCACTGAGTTCAATGCCTCACAATTGCTGCATGCCCCTCCATATTCCAGCACACAGAAATGCTCTCTGTGCCACACTGCCACTGCTGGGGTTTAGGGGTAAGGTGGTATCAGCAATTCAAGACTGATTTTTCTACATCTTCAGTGCCTCTTTCAGTGATATGAAGTTAAAAGCAAGTACTCTTAGTGGTCACCTGATTTTTGGTTCTTCTGGAGGTGCATTTTTTTGTGTGTAAATAGTTGTTAAATTACTGTCCTTGTTGAGGGGGTTGATTGGTGGAGACTTCTATTCTGCCGTCTTGTTCTGCTTACCTCCAAATTCTAAATAATGTTTAAATAACAGACCAACATATGCAATCTTTGAATTATTTTCAAAATTGAGATTACTGATTTATACCTACAGTTAAATTTACAGTTTGGTTTTATAAACATGGGCTACTTTCTTATCTTCCATGCCACATAGCACTTTTAATCAGTGTTTGACAAGGAAGACATGTACCTATGCATCTGCCACAGAAAATTTGTGGTTCACATGTCTTTAAGAATGTTTCATGAAACCTTTTCTAACACTGTATTATCTTCATCAATTGTTTTACTTATGATAATTCCACATAGATATTAATCTCCTTATTCAACCCCCAAAGTATACATGCAAAACTTATAAATTGTAATTTTTTCTAAATTTAGAAACATAGTAGAAGCCACTTCTAAGAAATGATAAAGAAGTTGTACTGAGAGCACTAATTAGGAACACTGGGAGGTCATTTTGAGTCTTTTACATCAGACAAGTAGAATACATTAAAATTAATGTGATAGAAAATACTCACTGGTATGTCACCCATTAACTCATTCGGAACACACTAAACTAAACCCCCCTGGCTCTTTCAGCCCTTGCTTCAGGAAGGGTAGGCACTTAGGAGGAAGAATGCCTCACTTCCTGGGCCTTCCAAAGACCTGAAGTCACAGCCTGGTCATCAGACACCATCTGCTCCTTCTAACTGCCTCTGACTTCCGGCTTTCAATCTGAGGTGAGCGCATGCTAGAGGCAGCAGGTTCATTATGGGACAGCATGGCTTCTTCTGTTTTATGGGAAGTAATCATCATTAAGTTGGTTATGAAATGTTCATCAAGTATGTCTTTTGGTTTTGTAGCAAAAACAACTCAATCAAGAAAGCTTTCTAGTAATTTAAGAGGGCTAAGTCTATAGTAAAACTTCCTTTTACTTGTTTTTTTTAATAAACACTTTATTTTAGAAAAGCTTTATATTTATAGAAAAATTGAGGAGATTGTAGAGTTCCTATATACCACACACACAGTTCTATTATTAATATTTTACATTTGTCACAATTAATAAATGAATATGGGTATTTATTAACTTTTTTCAGTTTCCTTAGTGTTTAACCTCATCCTTTTTCTGTTCCAGGATCCCTTCTGGAATATCATATTACATTTAGTCATCATGTCTCCTTAGGATCTTCTTGACTCTGACAGTTTCTCATAGTCTCTGTTTTTTATGACAGTTTTTTGACAGTTTTGAGTGGTACTGGTCATGTGTTTTGTAGAATTACCCTCAGTTGGGATGTGTCTGATGCTTTTCTCATAGTTAGATAGTGGTTTGGATTTTGGAGAGTACGACCATGGAGGTAAAGTGCCATCTCATGACTTCATGTCAAGGGTATACAATGTCAACATGTCTTATTATTGTTGATGTTGACCTTGATCACCTGGCTGAACTCATATTTGTCAGATTTCTCCACTGTCAAGTGACTCTTTTAGCCCCCTTCCATATTGTCCTCTTTGAAAGGCAGTCACTATGTGCAGCCCACATTTAAGGAGGGGAGAGTTATCCTCCACCTTCCTGAGGACAGATATTGTGTCAGTGTTCTCATGCTGCTAATAAAACATACCCAAGACTGGGTCATTCATAAAGGAAAAACGTTTAATGGACTCACAGTTCAGCATGGCTGGGGAAGGCTCATAACCATGGTGGAAGGCAAAGGAGAAGCAAAAGCATGTCCTACATGGCAACAGACAGGAGGGCTTGTGCAGGGGATCTCCCATTTATAAAACCATCAGCTCTTGTAAGACTTATTCACTACCACAAGAACAGTATGGAGGAAACTGCCCCCATGATTCAATTATGTCCACCTGACCCTACCCTTGATTTGTGGGGATTATTACAATTCAATGTGTGATTTGGGTAGGGATACAGCCAAACCATATCAGATATTTATTTACATTATTTGCAAATCATCTCCTTGGGAGATTCATTTTTGTTTTAATCTACAATTTTCAATTAATACTTAAAAGGGAAGTAAGACAGTTTAGGGAGGAGACTCGGTCCTGGCAGACAAGAGACATTGTAATTAGGATGCCAGTGAGCCTCACATGTCTGGGCATATCACCTCCCCTACCTTGTCTCCCTCAACAAGCTGACTCAAATCAGTAGCAGAAATGGGGACCCCTCCTAACCTAGAAGACCAGGCAAAATTCCTAACCATAAAAGGAAGAACCTAACCATTTATCTCCTTGTGTAATGTCTTCCAAGGTTGCTAACGTGCGACTCTGCCATTCCTGATAAGAACCTCACGAGATCCAGCTGGTTGGCAACAAGATGGACTTCAGTGCTGACCTTTCACTGACTTTTCTGTAACCTTTCATTGACTTTTTTCTCATTATAATCTCATTGTAATACTAAAATCTCTGCCCAAGGCAGGTCCTATCTGCCATTTTCTGTACATGCAACGCATGTTAGGGCATGATAGTTCCTATGCAGGTGCAAAGAAGACCCTGCCTAAACATGTCTACATGTCTCTCCTTTTTTCCACCTCAACTTACTTAAAAGGACAAGATCTGAGCCCCTCGGTGGGGAGCTGGCATCAGGACTCTCCCTGTACTCTGTTCCTTTGTGTAGCTTGAACCACAGGCTTATTATACCTTGCCTTCCTGTTCACCCTGGGGTCAATTTCTATTACCCAAGAGCCATCAGAAGTAGAAGGTGACTTCAAGCTGGAGTCACTATATATCATAAACTGCCTATTATTGTTTACTACCTCAATGTTTAAAATTTCCCCCATTCCTGGAAGATTGAGGCTGCAACAGTGTTCCTGGGGGTCTGAGTTGACTCCTGAGAAGCATGCATCCTCTTTATTAGTTTCCTGTCCATTTGCTCATCCTTTGATAGTGAGTCAATGAGGAGGCTCTTTGGAATGTTGTAATTTTCTTTATGTTTCCATTTTCAATTTTTCAATTTTCTACAGTAGAGTATAAAATGTTATTAGTCCACAGCTTGTTCAGATTGAAAACATACTTATTCATAATTAGGTTATATACTTGCCAAAGTCTATTAAGAAACTTTCAAAGATAGGTGGACCTGGGAAAGACTCTTGATGTCTTTGGACCTCAATTCTCCATCTCAAAATGGAACTCATAATAGTAATTTATAAGGTTAGCATAAGGCTTAGTGTAGGTAATTTATGTAAAGTGCCTGTTGCAAATCAATAAATAGTACATGTTACTATAAAGCAAGACATTTTAAAATTATTTTTGTGTCTTTTTACTGGAATTCAAATTTTTTTAAGACAGGATCTCACCTGTTCCCCAGGCTGGAGTACAGTGGTGTGATCATGGCTCACTGCAGCCTCAACCTCCTGGGCTCAAGAGATCTTCCCACATCAACTCTCCAAGTAGCTGGTACTACAGATGTGCACCACCATGATTGGCTAATTTTTTTTTTTTCGTAATTTTAGTAGAGATAAGGTATCACTCTGTGGATTATAGGCATGAGCCACTGTGCATGGCCCCTGAGCAAAATTTTCAATGCTATACTTTCCATAAATTTTTATGGAGTGTTTTTGTATGCCACGTCTTGTGTTATACTGGGGACGTGAAGAGGAAACAAGGGCTCCTTTCCCAGGGGCATCAACCTTGTGGCAGCTCAGTTCAGATGATAAACTCTCCATTAACATGGGTCCAACACAATACTCTAGAAGTAATAACTATGCTTACTACATCTCTATATATTGTTCCCAAACATTTCTATGAAATCAAAAACAAAGAACATAAAATAACTTTTTTATTAAAAAAAGAATTTTATATTACTCTTTAAAAAAAGGAAGAGGAACAAAATTTTCAATTCACATACAAATAAATAAGTCGATTAGGGATTAAAGAAAATGCTTTTTGTTTTCCTAGCAGAGGAACCTAATAGAGAATTTATTATAAAGTTTAAATGCTTTGAAATGTGACCTGCAGGATAAGTACTGAAAGAGGCTAGATTTCTTTTCAGTGTGAACTCAAACCATCATTGCCTCAGGCCTTTCTTCAGAGCTTCAAAGTTCTGCAAGTCACTATCACATCTTAATAATTTTTGATAAAAGTCTAACTGCTCAGCCTCAGGTTCAGAATCAGGAGAAAGAAACTCCTGTCAGTCTTTCAGCACTGAAACACAATAAAGCAAGCACAAGCAATCTGTGGGGAAGCTCTGTGAACAGACACCCAAAAACTTCTCCCTTCCTTCCTCCCCCAACTTTTCTCTTGAACCTAGATCTGGTGACGTTTTCAGTCCTGCTTCCTTTCCTCGGTTGCTACCTCACTTCTCAAACTCCTCGGAACGGAGGGATGCCACAAGGGCAGGGCCAGCTGCAGGTGCAGTGAGAAAGGACATGCAGGGCTCCTTATTCACAAGTATTAGGAATTTCAAGATGGTGACAACAGAGCCTTTCACCAAGGAACAGACCCTTCAGAGAGCGTGGCCCTGTGTACTTGTGCAGTCACATGACCATGAAGCAACCCTGTAGGATGGATATACAAATTATTCCACTGGAAAAAAAGAATATTCTCCAGAATACCAGATGGGCTCTCCTTTCTGAAAAGCTGTTGGAACTGGTGAAGAATTGCAATTTTTAGGTGGCTGTACCCAATGGGAAAAGTCAGGTGTTGGAATCTTCCTCTAATTACCAGCCCCTTGTTGAAAGGGAGGACTGAGAGCACTGCAGTGGGGAGGGGTCTGCATGGGAAGAGAGGGGAAGACAGCCCCCAAGCTGGGAACAGGAGGCTTGGAAAGGCAGAGAGAAGAGAACAATGAAGAGGGTTTGTTGTCATTGTTGTTTCTTTGTTTGTTTGTTCGTTTGTTTGAGACAGAGTTTTGCTCTGTCACCCAGGCTGGAGTGCAGCAGCACGATCTCCACTCACTGCAACCACCGCCTCCCAGGTTCAAGCAATTCTCCTGCCTCAGCCTTCCAAGTAGCGGAAATTACAGAAGAGTGCCACCATGCCTGGCTAATTTTTGTATTTTTTAGTAGAGTCGGGTTTTCACCATGTTGGCCAGGCTGTTCTTGAACTCCTGACCTCGTGATCTGCCTGCCTCAGCCTCCCAAACTACTGGGATTACAGACATGAGCCACCATGCGCAGCCTGTCATTGTTGTTTCTTTCAAGAATATAAGAAAGCTGATAATTGGGAGAAAGTTTACTATGCACAAAGGATGAACTTCCCTTTTAGCATGTTTTTTTCCAAAAGCCTTAAAATTTGCAGTTCTACAATTATAGGTATTATACCATGTTGAAGTCTCAATGAATATGATTTTGTACCAAGAGAGGTCCATGTAGAGCCCTCGGTTTCATGAGTTGCACAATAAAACTGCTATTGGTTAAATTCCTAATTCATAAACATAAATGTAACTGCCTTAATAAGTATTCACTGGATAGACTTAGAAATACAATTACAGTTTAATTTTCATTAAGTCAATGATTCACTTACAAAGAGAGAATTCTGAGAACATTTTAAATCACAGAATTCTCAAGAATGCCATTCAGAGCTTTATTTTTGATGCTGATGAAACCAGTGGGATAAGTAGACCCCTTCTGCTCTTACTGATATGTCTTAAATTAGGCAACAAAATAATAGCCAACAAATAAGAAGTATTGTCAAGTTGAAATAGTTTTACCAGCATCTTAATATATTAACAGCTCTCTGGTGGTGCTACTGAATCAAAGACAAATTTTAGACAGTCTAGAGAAAAAGGCAAAAGCATATTCTTTAGGAAGTTGTCTACAAATAAGGTTCTCTGAACTGGGAGCAGCGAGTTTGGGCTTTTAGTCCCTGACAACTCCTTGGAAGAGAGCAGAGCTAAGCCTTGACTTGATGGACTCTTATGAAAGCGGAGAAGCCAGACATGAATCCATACCGAAAGGAAGACCGCCTGACCTTCACACAAAGCAGCCCAGCTTTATAAATGTCAAGAAAGGACTGAGAGCTAGCCTATCCATGGCTTCACCTTTGTTGCTGAAATGGACTATTTACAAGGAAGAGGGCAACAGATAGAAGAATATCAATAATCTCAGAAATTCTCCAATTCTTTCCTCTATCAAATTGCATTCACTAAATTGCACTTTGGCTTTATGACCCTGGTTTACATTGAGAACCAATAAAAATGACCCTTCGTGCACTCTAAGAAAATAGTTGAAAACAATACTGTTGAGAACAGTCATGTCTCTGACATAATATCCTTGGGAAAAATGTTCCTTTGTCATATTCTGAATAACAGGTAGGTTAGGGGGCTCCTACTTCTCCTTCTGATGACATTCAAGAGAGAAGGACATCCCTTTCCTATCAGAATTTTTCCTTTAGTGGAGTTAACATTTCCTATAGGCCTGAGGCAAGAATTCAGAGACCAGCTTCTTCCTCTAGGCTTCCTCTCACATAGAATAGGGACATGGTAGCCATTCTCTGCCAGTGTCAGGTGCCCTGATAGAAAGTGCCCAGCAAGCAATATCACATTGTACCACACCACTAGCCCCAAACTGCTCAGCATTTTTTTTTTTTTTTTTTTTTTTTTTTGAGACAGAGTCTCTCTCTGTCACCCAGGCTGGAGTGCAGGGGCGCGATCTTGGGTCACTGCAAGCTCCGCCTCCCGGGTTCACGCCGCCATTCTCCTGCCGCAGCCTCCCGAGTAACTGGGACTACAGGCGCCCGCCACCACACCCGGCTAATTTTTTTGTATTTTTAGTAGAGACGGGGTTTCACCGTGTTCGTCAGGATGGTCTTGATCCCCTGACCTTGTGATCTGCCCACCTCCGCCTCCTAAAGTGCTGTGATTACAGGCGTGAGCCTGCTCAGCATCTTTATACATGAAACATATTTTTAAAAGGTGACTATTAAAGGCAGCTTTGAAGAGGAAATTAAGACACAAATGGCAATGAGCATCTAATAAATAAGAGGGGAAAAAATGTTCCATCAACTTAAAGATGGATGTGTGTGAAAGTGCATTAATGGGTTAATTGTGTGTGTGTGGTGCGTATGTGTGCACACACATATGATAGCATACGTATATATTAAATGGTTATATAGGTATTGTGTATTTATATATGATTGTATGTGTATATACATTATTAAATACGATTATATATGTATATATGTATTTATATAATTTCATAGGCATATGTGTGAGTGTATACTTCCTGTGGGTCTTTAAAAAATGAAATCACAAGGAGTTCATCATCCTATTTCTGTACTGGGCTACTTCTTTGACTTACCAACCAATTTGTAAAAATGTAGCCCTGATCCCTAGTATGTGCCCAGAGAGCCCTGTATCTCACCATGAGCTTTGGAACTTGTCTGACCAGGGCCATGGGAAACTTGATATTTAACACTGCTGCTAACTCTTGGCTCCTGCAGCAGAGTATGTTACTGGGATGGCAGTACAAGTAAAAATGGTATGGCAGTGCGGGTCATGGTGCCCACGTACGCTGCTTGGAACAGGCTTTCACGAACCCTCAGGATGAGGATTCATAGCCTACTATCACTTCAAGTCCAAGATGGAAAGTCCTTTTGGTGTCTTCCACGTCATGGTTCATGGACAGTTAGTGTCAGCATCACTGAGGAATGTGTTAGAAAATCAGTCTCAGGACCCAACTCTGTCCTATTAAAACAAAATCTTGCAATGAGACTGAGGAAACCATGATCTGACAAGCTGTGCAGGTGATGCACACTGAAATTTGGGAATCAAAGAGGCCTCAGAAGTGGGTAACTGATGTGTTATTAGAAGGTTACTCAGTCTTCTGATTTAGAGCAGGTGGTCAGGAAATATTCAGTCTCCAAGAGAATGAAAGTAGGGGGCTGACTTACCATTGTAGACTTTTGGGAATTAATAAATATGTATATCTGAAAAAGAGAGACACTTTGTCTAAGTGAATATAGTATTAAGATTCTGTAATTGCCAGAGCATTTCAGGAAGCAACCTTCTGCCTGAGGCAGGACTGTTAGAATGAAGTCATCTTAGTATGGTTATAATGCCTGCCAGATGCATTTTAAAACACAACTGGTTTGACTGGTGTCTAAAACAGGCTGATAAGGAGTTCAGTGCCTGTGAGTCTAAAAAGGCCAACCGTAGAGTTAAAAAACATTCAAAAGCCTCAATCACTTCATTTTGAGACCATATTTTACCTGTGTTACAGTTTCCCAAAATTAAACAGCTTTGTATCATAAACAGCTGAGCAGTCGTCCCGAAATTGTTAGGAATGACTGCCAAAAAGAACTTCCTGTTATGTTTTTCATTATTGTGGCTATTGATCATTTATGAGTAACAGCAAAAAATGAGGGATTTTTCTAAACATTGAGATCTTCCCTTTGGGATCAAAATGCAAATAAGTCAGATGAGGTTCAGACTGGAAGAGGGAGAGGGAAGGAGAAAGTTATTCATGTGAAGCAACCAACTGCATGTTGTAGCGCCTCTAAAGCCTTTGGTCCGTTACTTGTGTTTTCTTTAATTCTAGTTTGATAATGTCTTTGGATGCCTAAGCTCCCCTCCTGTTTTTATCCTATCAACCTTACATCTCAGTTCAAAATTATTAGGCATTTTCCACTGCTATTCAGTGTGATGATCAAAACAAATTGCCAATCCTTTTTCCCTGGTAAAGAGTCCGAGGTACTGACAGTTCAGATAAGCGATGTGTTTCTACAGCAGTCAGAAGTGTACAAAAGTGTTCATCTTGGAGCCCTTAGCTTCTTTGCTCACCATCTCCATTCTTACACCACAACACATTCTGCACATAAAATACTCACATTAATTCAATCATGAAAAGACAAAGTTTACACACTGTCATAGCTCCAGCTGCTATGACAAAAATGCCATAGACTTGGTGGCTTACACAACAAACTATTTCTGAATGTTCCAGAGCCTAGAGCTTTAGTCTCTTAGAAGTAGCTTTTTAGTGCAAAAAAAAAAAACAAGAAACTTCTGGACAAACCAGGATCCACTTTAGGCTCAGGTCACCTCATTTCCAACTCCTTGAACCACTTCAATTGTTAAAGAAAAGTTATTCCGACACTTGCTAAAATGGTAAGGAAAACTTCATTCAAGACTTTATTCAGGACTATTGCAATAGGTGTCAAGACTGTAGCAAGCAACCGGGGAGAGATGGGGCTCCACTTCAAATACAAGAAAAAGTGGAAATCTCTAGCCAAGGAGCAGGTGGGATGGGGATGGATGTTGGCAGAGGGAAAATTACTAACAGGAGACATCAAGGACAGGGGGCATTTTTGTTGGACTGACCACACAGGATTCTTGCTAAGAGCAGGCCAGGGTGATCAGAGATCAAGGGCGTGAGGGCTCTTGCTAAACTGACCTAGCAGGATTCTTGCTAATACTGGATTCTGCCAGGAGGGAAGGCCAAGGCCTAGTTGAGCACAGGGTTCAAAGAAGCCTGACTAGTTTGGTCAGGGAGAGTCTTTGTCACTATGTACCATAAAAACATGCTGACCGTGTCATAACACTCTGGAAGCAGACAGCATCTATGACTGCCCTCCATAAATGACTGGGTCCCATTCCACCATGAGTTTTATTATCAAATCTTGCCCTTAAGGTCTTGTTCATGTCCTCTAGCTCAGCCTACTCAGCAGGGATATAGGAAGATTTTAAAACACAGACTCCTTCAAAGCAAAGATATGAAAGGATGTGGCTTTGTATCTACTCAGAGCTGGGAGCTGCCAGATAATCTGAATAGAACCAAGGGGCTCAATGACACCCACCCCCCAAGTCTTAGTTTTTTGTGGTACCTGGTATTTTCATCATGGAAATAATTACTCAGAGAAATTTCTGAAAACAAAAACACCTGTCTACCTCCTTCCTTTGTCACCTATAGTTTGTTGGATTTCAAAGCACAGAAATTGAGTCAGGGTTAATAGTTATGATGCTTTCAAAAGTAGCAGAAACCAGGACAGAAACTGGCTTAAACAATAATGAAACTTACTTTTACACATAAAATACTCAGAAGTAGGGAGTCTTCAGAAATAATATGAAGAGTTGCAAAATTATGTAATTTTTTTTAAAAAAGTTATATTTTTCTGTCTCTTCGCTATTTTTTCCTTAATATCTACTTCATCCTGGTCTTGTCATGGCTTCAGAATGACTGCCTATGAAAATTTAAGTTACATGCTTCTTTGTGCATGTTAAATAGAAAGCAGAGACACAGTGATATGGTTTGGTTGTGTCCCCACCCAAATCTCATCTTGAATTGTAGCTCCCATAATTCCCACATGTCGTGGGAGGGACCTGGTGGGAGGTAATTGAATCATGGGGGCAGGTCTTCCCGTGCTGTTCTTGTGATAGTGAACGTCTCACAAGATCTGATGGTTTTATAAATGGGAGTCCCTGCACAAGCACTTTCTCTTGCCTGCCGCCATGTAGGATGCCCCTTGGCTCTTCCTTCATCTTCTGCCATGATTTTGAGGCCTCCTCAGCCATGTGGAACTGTGAGTCCATTAAACCTCTTTCCTTTATAAATTACCCAGTGTTGAGTATGTCTTTTTGAGCAGCATGAGAACACACTAATACACACAGAGATATGCCCCCTACACATAAGTTATATGCCCACCCCAACCACATTTATCATCACTGGGTTAATTCCATAACAAAATTTAGCTCTTTCTGGAGCAAAGGATGAAGTAGATGCTTGATCCCAATCAGGGCTCTGATAAAAAAAGGAAATGGGAAAGGATCACAGCTAGGTGACTGTCCTTAAAATCTGTTGTTAGCACACCACCGTCACTGTACCCCCAACTTTCCTCCACAATTCAAAGGCTAAAACCCTGTAACTACATTTTATAGACACCCTTACTTGTATGATACAGGTTCAAACTCCTGCAAAGAAAGACAATTCTGTGAAATGTAGAAAGTGAAAGAAAAGCAGAAGCTATAATATGGTAGGCAGACTACAGTCATGAGAAGTTCAGCGGTTTCCAGAAGTTCTGTGAATTGCCCTCTTCAGCAGGCAGCAGAAATCACTGGAGGCAGCATCCTATGGCCCCAGTAATTCCTGATTCCCAAAATGTTAGCAGAGGTTTTCCTCAACCTTCACTTCTCCAACACTTCTGATAGTTCTGCAAACATCTATTTCTTGGTACTAAGTTTTTTCCTGTTTACAATATCTAGAATAGCGTCATTTTTTGCGACCCTTAACTTCCTGCAAACTCAGCGTCCCCTTTACCTGGAAAGAGAGTGACACCAACTAGTACAAATGCCATTAGGCGATCTGGAGGAAGGACTCCCAAAAAGGAAAACAGCATTTCCACTATCATCTCTAGTCTCCTCTTTCATGATATTTTAGATCAGTTTTGAGCATAACCACTTTCTCAATACTTATTTATTGACCAGAGAGATACCCCTCCATATATGACACAAACCTTACAGTGGTGGCCTGGAATATACATTCATGAATTAAGAAATTCAGCACTGCCATCTGCTCTGCTTTTGATGAGAGCCTCGGGCTGCTTGTATTCATGGCCAAAGGCATGTGCAGAGATCACATAGGGAGAGAAGAAGCAACAGAGCACAAGGGGAGGTGCCAGGCTCTTTTTAACAACCAGCTCTCACAAGAACTCATAAGATGAAAACTCACTCACAGAACCAAAGACAAAAACCAGATGATTATCTCAATAGATGCAGAAAAGGCCTTTGACAAAATTCAACAACACTTCATGCTAAAAACTCTCAATAAATTAGGTATTGATGGGACATATCTTAAAATAATAAGAGCTATCTATGACAAACCCACAGCCAATATCATACTGAATGGGCAAAAACTGGAAGCATTCCCTTTGAAAACTGGCACAAGACAGGGATGCCCTCTCTCACCACTCCTATTCAACATAGTGTTGCAAGTTCTGGCCAGGGCAATTAGGCAGGAGAAGGAAATAAAGGGTATTCAATTAGGAAAAGAGGAAGTCAAATTGTCCCTGTTTGCAGATGACATGATTGTATATCTAGAAAACCCCATTGTCTCAGCCCAAAATCTCCTTAAGCTGATAAGCAACTTCAGCAAAGTCTCAGGATACAAAATCAGTGTACAAAAATCACAAGCATTCTTATACACCAATAACAGACAAACAGAGAGCCAAATCATGAGTGAACTCCCATTCACAATTGCTTCAAAGAGAATAAAATACCTAGGAATCCAACTTACAAGGGATGTGAAGGACCTCTTCAAGGAGAACTACAAACCACTGATCAAGGAAATAAAAGAGGATACAAACAAATGGAAGACCATTCCATGCTCATGGGTAGGAAGAATCAATATCATGAAAATGGCCAAACTGCCCAAGGTAATTTATAGATTCAATGCCATCCCCATCAAGCTACCAAACTACCAATGACTTTCTTCACAGAATTGGAAAAAACTACTTTAAAGTTCATATGGAACCAAAAATGAGCCCACATCACCAAGTCAATCCTAAGCCAAAAGAACAAAGCTGGAGGCATCACGCTACCTGACTTCAAACAATACTACAAGGCTACAGTAACCAAAACAGCATGGTACTGGTACCAAAACAGAGATATAGATCAATGGAACAGAACAGAGCCCTCAGAAATAACGCTGCATATTTACAACTATCTGATCTTTGACAAACCTGAGAAAAACAAGCAATGGGGAAAGGATTCTCTATTTAATAAATGGTGCTGGGAAAACTAGCTAGCCATATGGAGAAAGCTGAAACTGGATCCCTTCCTTACACCTTATACAAAAATTAATTCAAGATGGATTAAAGACTTAAACATTAGACCTAAAACCATAAAAACCCTAGAAGAAAACCTAGGCATTACCATTCAGGACATAGGCATGAGCAAGGACTTCATGTCTAAAACACTAAAAGCAATGGCAACAAAAGCCAAAATTGACAAATGGGATCTAATTAAACTAAAGAGCTTCTGCACAGCAAAAGAAGCTACCATCAGAGTGAACAGGCAACCTACAAAATGGGAGAAAATTTTCGCAACCTACTCATCTGACAAAGGGCTAATATCCAGAATCTACAATGAACTCAAACAAATTTACAAGAAAAAAACAAACAACCCCATCAAAAAGTGGGTGAAGGACATGAACAGACACTTCTCAAAAGAAGACATTTATGCAGCCAAAAAACACATGAAAAAATGCTCATCATCACTGGCCATCAGAGAAATGCAAATCAAAACCACAATGAGATACCATCTCATACCAGTTAAAATGGCGATCATTAAAAAGTCAGGAAACAAGAGGTGCTGGAGAGGTTGTGAAGAAATAGGAACACTTTTACACTATTGGTGGGGCCGTAAACTAGTTCAACCATTGTGGAAGTCAGTGTGGAGATTCCTCAGGGATCTAGAACTAGAAATACCATTTGACTCAGCCATCCCATTACTGGGTATATACCCAAAGGACTATAAATCATGCTGCTATAAAGACACATGCACACGTATGTTTATTGTGGCACTATTCACAATAGCAAAGACTTGGAACCAACCCAAATGTCCAACAATGATAGACTGGATTAAGAAAATGTGGCACATATACACCATGGAATACTATGCAGCCATAAAAATAATGAGTTCATGTCCTTTGTAGGGACATGGATGAAATTGGAAATCATCATTCTCAGTAAACTATCGTAAGAACAAAAAACCAAACACCGCATATTCTCACTCATAGGTGGGAATTGAACAATGAGAACACATGGACACAGGAAGGGGAACATCACACTCTGGGGACTGTTGTGGGGTAGAGGGAGGGGGGAGGGATAGCTTTAGGAGATATACCTAATGCTAAATGACGAGTTAATGGGTGCAGCACACCAGCATGGCACATGTACACATATGTAACTAACCTGCACAATGTGCACATGTACCCTAAAACTTAAATAATAATAAAACTTTAATAATAATAAAAGAAAAGAAAAAAAAAAGAAAACTCACTCACTTCCCCCTCCCAAGGAGAGCATTCATCTATTCCTGAAGGATTGCCCACATGATAAAAACACCTCCCAGCGAGCCCCACCTCCAATACTGAAGACCACATTCCAACATGAGATTTCGAGGGGACCAATAACCAAATTATAGCAACAAATGAAAGAAATTTCCAGAAAGAAATATTACTAATCATTTCCTAAGAAATGAAAATATTTTAACACCAAAAATATAGGAAAGAGAATTTTTTATATAGGACAGTCTTTTAACTTGGATGTATTTACTATTTTAAAACAACCGAACAAACAAACAAACAAACACATTTTACTCAGCCCATTTCTCCACAGAGCGGTGAAAGCTCCTTTAACTGAGGAGCCAGGCTATCAGTACATTTGAAGCCACTGTCTGAGTGATGCCAGAACACATACCACCTCATGAGAGAAGCCAAAATTGATTATTTGGGATGTTTCTTAGCCTGTTTCATCATATAATTGAAACTCTACCACCACTTTTCTTTCATAAAAATAATAGGCCCTTGAAAATCAATATCAATATGATTTGTAACTGCTCAGCTACTGGAAAAAGTTGGTTAATCTGGTCAGTGCTGTTTCAGTGGAGGGGTGATCCTGAATTTTGTAATCCCTTTCTTAGAATACTCCATCAAATTTTATTCAGTTTTTAAAAATCCCCAGATACCAGACATTGTTGAAATTTGCTATGAAGTGCTGGAATGTAATAAGCAAATTAAAAAATAAAATATGCTTACTGATTTCACTTTTATTTCTCAGTACATAACTAAGAAAATTTTCTTTTCCTTTTTATTCAACACACAATTTCTTTGAATTCTCCTTGCTTTGTATGACATAGAAAAATTGTATCACTGAGAATACATGTGGAACCTGAACAGAAAGGAGAGAAAAATAGCAACAGTACCTTTCATAGTTTCTTAGAAGCTAGTGTAATCTGGAAAAAAATCACAGCTCCATCACAGCATTGTATCTGACTCTTGGGCTCAGGTGAGAAACTCATATCTGATCACAGAAGTTTTGTTTTGTAAGTTTGCCTCTACAACTTCTTCCCTTCAAAACATGTTGAGAAATTGATATTGCGAGGGCAAGACTGTGCTATGAATACAAAAAGCAAACAGAAAACTGAAGGGCGTGGTTTCATTTCAAGGTCAAGGTGAAAAGGTCCTGATAGTAATATTTTTCTGTTTTTCTCTATAATAATATATAGGCAATAATTCTGAAAAATATTCTACATTTTTACATTGGAATCCACATATAATAGTCACATTGATTAAAATGTTAACCATTCGCCTATTTTTAGTTAAGTATTTAACTTCCACAAATTACATTTAAATAATGAAGGCTCACAATAACGGAGAAAGATTGTTTAGGGAGTGTATTGTACGATTTTTTTTTTTATTTAAAAGGTGACTAAATATCACTGACTTCGTTTAAAAGCAAAGCCATCAAATATCTATAAAATGTGACTTAAAGCATTTCTTTTATCGGGCAAGTCCTATTGTTATCTATTTAAAAATGCTTCAAAAATCCTATAGTATTTGTGCTCCTAATCATCATATCACATTGTCTAAAGGTTACTTTTTATGCCATATTGCTCTTCTACTCAAGTTCTCCTGTGACTTTTCTTCTCACTTAGATTAAGATACAGGCCTCACATGATCTAGTCCCTAATTTCCTGTTAATCCCATCACCTGTGATTTTTCTCTTCCTAGCTCTCTCCCATCTACCCAGCCACACTGGCCTCTGCCCTGTCCCTTGAGTGCACCAAGAACACTCTGGCTTACTGGTCTTTGAGGAAGTTTCCCCTGTCCTTGGAATGCTCTTCTTCAAGATAACCCTGTGGCTCACAACCTCACTTCCTTTAGCTCTCTGATCAAATACGGTTTCTCTGAGAGCCATCCCTGACACATGTGCATGTGTGTGTGTGTGTGTGTGTGTGTGTGTGTGTGTATACATGTTATGTACCAAGTGTTTGTGTCCACCCCAAATTCATATGTTGAAACCCTCACTCCCTTGTCTGATGGGATGAGTGTTCTTAAAAGAAGAAACAGCAGCTCTCTCCACCATGTGAGGACATAGCAAGAAGGCCATCTGCAAGACAGGAAGAGAGCCCTCACTAGAACCTGATTCTGCTGGCACCCTAATCTCAGACTTTCAGCCTCCAGAACTGCAGGAAAATAAATGTCTATTGTTTAAGACAACCAGTCTGTGTTTTTTTGTTTGTTTGTTTTGTTTGTTTGTTTTTGTTATGGCAGCCTGAGCTAATATAGTACACATAAACATGCATGTGTATTTGTCTGTCATGTATATGTGGGTGTGTACAAATTCATGGATTTATTTCTTTTGCTTACATTGTTCTCCTTGCTGCTGCTGCTGCTGTCTATTCAGAATGATCCTTCTATATTTTCCTTCATAGCAATATCCCAGCATACCTAGCATGTACTTTACTTGTTAATTTGCTTATTGCCTCTTCTCTCCAAGTAGAATATAAGCTCCATCATAACTAAAATGGCCATTCCATTGTAACCATGATTCTGAGCTTTTCTTAAAGCTTTTCTCTTCCCTCCTTTGGATACAACTTTTTGTTGGAAAGGCTGCAGTGAGTGAGGCATGTGATCCACTATTCTTCTCCACTTCACTTGCTCTTTCCCTTCGTCTCCCCTCCTTGCTAACTTCCATGTGGACCTGAGGGAAGTGGACAAGGTGGCAAAGAATACAGTAGAACTGGGTGAATACAGCTGGATTCTGACATGTGTGTCTGAGGCCTTCAAAGGCATATAAACCTTTTTTTCCTATAGTCTTCGTCAGGGTTTCTTAGATATGCTGCTTGGGTAGCCTAAGGTCTTCCTTTACGCTGGCTATTTTTCCCTCAACCACTATGCAATGTCAGTCATCCCTCTATAGCGTCACTTTGCCTCTCTAGACATCTCTCTCTGGCCAAATCTCTTTCAGGTTGGCTTCTTGGCCTCTTCCCGCCTTCTATCTTTTCTTCTGTCTTTTCTTCTTCAAGGGATCACACATCCTTGTCCTGCATGTGCAGTTTGCTCATGTATTGCCCTTTATAACTTTGCTTTGCCACAACCATGTAACTCCAGGTTCAGCCTTTCATCTTCAGTCTTCCACAGGTAGGGATGAAATGTGTTTCTCTTCTAGTTACTGAGACTGCATAACAAATTACCTTAAAACTTATGTGTGCCAGATGACCATATATTATGCTAGAGGATTCTGAGTCAAGGTATTAAGAGACTATTCCAGGAAGTTTGCTGAGGGGCTCAGCTGTAAGACTGAAAGCCTAGGGGCTAGGATCAGCTAAAAGTAGTTCACCCATGTCAGTGCCTAATGCAGGCTCTTGACTGGGGTCTCAGCTCCTCTCCAAGTATCCCCTCCATGTGGACTAAGTTGGACTTCCTCAAAGCAAGGTGACTGGCATCCCCAGAATAAGCATCCTGAATAAAGAAAGTTAGACAAAGACTCTTTCATTTTATGATATAGCCTCAGAAGTCACACAGCAGCAGTATTATTTCTCTGTGTTCTCCAGTCAGAGCAGTCACATCACGCCCTGGTTCAACAGGAGGAAAAATAGGCTTTTCCCTTGGCAACAGGTAAAGTTCTGGCAGACCGCATTATTATGACCTTGGCAAAATGCAATATCCCAAGAATTTTTTTAACCAAACTGCGAGGGACAGATGTCATATGTTCAAGTCCTTGTTACTTAGCACGAGGTAAGGGAAAGCACTTCATCCTCTGTTCCACGTGGGGAGTGAAGGGAGAAAAACAATGACACAAAAGCCAACAACATTCTCCAGGGAAATTCTCTGTTATTTCCATTTCTTTCTTAATTTATTTTTACCTTCAAGAGGTGTATATGGGCTAAGGAGGCAAAACAAGCCTTTATCATTTCCTTTGCAAACCCTGTATAAGTGGACCAGCACCTCAGTTTGGAAGCTGGGAAATGCACTAATTTTCTTCACGTATGGCCTTTGAGGAGACTGCTGAAATGTTGAAAGTGTCCCATTTATACATTTCATTAAGTATAAAGTCAAATATATCAGCACATAAAAGGAATATAGCCAAATTGAGAGAATTGAATTTTAGAAATTGAAGGATGGGTTGATATTAGGAAACCTGTTAACATATTTGTCACCCATAAGACATAGAGTGCTTTTACAAAACAATATAAAAAACACAGAGAAATTCGTGAGAAAGTCTTACAAGAAATAGGCTAAGGACATGAAGTGACACACAAATTCAAATAACCAATAGAATAATGCACAAGCTAATTGGATAAACAAAGATTAGGTAAGAAATAGCAAGTACTACTTTTAATGTATACAAATTATAGGTAATATAGAATAATATAACTCAGTTTTTGTGACTTCAGAGGTAGATTTTCTTTTCCCTAATGAGCATATAACACTTTTGGGTACATGCACACACAAGTGTGCTTTTGTTTTTCCAATTACAAAAATATAATGTGAGCGTAGGACTAAATGATGTCTAAGAGTCCTTCCAGGTCTAAGGTCTCATTATTTTCAGCTTAATATTTTTATTGCAATATCCTTTCACCAGCTGGCTTCAAAACTTAGAATATCGCCCCAATGCCAACAAAAGAAAACCAAATGCTGTAGCTTAATGCTCAAAGGTGTCTACTCTTATTCCAGTATACTTTCCCATTTCGACTGTGTGTACCTTAATTGCAATCATATCAAGTGACCAATTATTCTTTCTACATAGTCCCATGTCGTTATTCATATTGTTCACACCATAATTTTTACCTGGAATGCTCTCCTCTAGTAATTTAATGATGCTTAAATGCTCTGTCAAGATTTAGAAAAACATACTATCACTTTACTAAAGCTTTCGATGATTCCTCCAAAGAGAAGGAATCCTGAGCCTTTTCCCAGCTACCCAGGCACTTTATTAAAACCACCCTTAAAGAATTTTCTACTATTCTTCTTAGTTATCTGTATATATATCTCAACTTTACCATAGATGGTATGTTCTTTGAAGGCAAAAACCATGTCTTACTAATATTTTGAATCCCTGACAGCATTTGGCCAAATATCTTATACAACATGTTTCAATAACGAAGACAAAAATAATGTTAGTAATAAGCCTGGTATTTAGTGTTTACTATGTGCCCAGCATTATATAAAACTTGATTGGAATCATTTAAGCCTCATAAACTTTTGAGATAGATACTGTTATTAGTCTAATTACAGACTAGGAATCAAAAGCATAAAGAGAATAAGTAATTTGCCTATGCAAAAACAAATCTCTTTGAGCCCTTTTCTTTTCTCTAATGGGCCCATCAGTGAATCCTGGGGGTCTCATAGCATTCTTTCAGTACATAATGACAGAGAAAAGGGAAAGAAAAACAATGAAAACAATCTCCAAATAATAAAAATAGAGGCAGATAAATGGTATATACATTCAAAAGGGTAAGCAAGGATCGGATTATAAAGTAATCTGACAATAAGAATTAGTGAAATAGAAGTAGGAAGGTAAAAGTAGTAAAAGCATATTTGTTATTTAAAGATTGCCATCTTAAGAATATTTTGTTCATGACTTTTTATATTCTTTAAAATGATAGACAAAAACAAAACCACTAATTTACATGTAGAACAAATGGGTACAAGAACACATTTTGCCCTCTAGTTCTGCTTGAATGAGTGCTTAAATGGAAATTCTCTATTGTTACTGATTACAGCTTTCTGTAACCCAACCATCTTCCCTTTGAAAAGGAGTTTTAGTCTGATAAGGATTAAAATTCTGTGTACTTTTCCAACTCGCTTGGCATTTTTTCAAACCCCACAGCCCTAGGACTTTGAGGATATTGAATTTGGATCATTCGAAGGGCAAAAGGGCATGTTTAAAGAGGTTAATCGTGACCTCGTGTAATTACTGGAGGCTGTGCTTCTAGTTCCAGAACAAAGGGAAAACCTGGCTGTTTCTGTTTAGAAGTTTAAGGGCTCAGAATGCTCCAGAAATATATAAGCATTCCAGGATTGGATTGGATTGGATGAAATTGAAGCATTGGATCACAATGGAGTGTAAACCTAAACCTCTCTGAATACGGGCAGTGAAAGTGTGTAATTCATGGCAGAAACTTAAATTTGAAAAAGAGGAATGTTAGAAGTAATAAGAAGAAATGAAGTGAGAATCCCAGAGCCTTCATTACATGCCAAAATAAAGTAGACATGTATTACATTCCTCCCTTCTGTGGGTCCCTTCCACACCTGTTGTTGCTTTCCTGGGGAATTAGCCAAAGTGATACAATTTCTAAGTTTTAGTGGGGAGAAATAATTGTATCCCAGGAACAGGAGGCCAAGGTTCAATTTTTCCACCATTGTTCTTGTTTTTTAATATCTTTGACAGAGGAGAGGACTATTGATTTAGTATAGTGGTTCAGGGAAAGCAAAAGGCACATCATGTACACACAGCACAGGAAACTTTTTAGTATGTGTTTATAAATTGCATCACCCCTGGCTCAGAGCTTCGTTTGATTTTTTTTGGGGGGGGCGGGTTGGTTGATTGGTTAATTGGTTGATTGGTTTGTTGGACACGTTATGTTGGAGAAATGACCCCTGAGAGGTGAGTCAGCTCTATCTCTGGATGATTTCACACATACTTAATTGAAAATGCTTTCCTGGACTCATGGTCTTCAGAAAAATACAGACTTTGATTTTATTAAAGTGAAATATTATTCTGCAAAAATAGCCCATTTGTTAAGATTTATAGGAAGAATATTTCATGCATATACTCTTTCATCAATTTTGTTCTGAGCAATTATGTGTCTGGCACTGAGCTTTACTGAAATATTGAAAAGACAGAGTATTTATCCACAGGAAATCTAAAAACTAGCATGGGAGAAAAAGCAATGATGGTAGTTATCAGTGGCCAACTTCAAATCATTGTCACACGATTTTTATCAAATATGGTATTAACAACAGTATCACTGTCACAAATAAATGTGTTTGTACTCAAGAAGAGTAGGTTAATATTTTTTCTCTGCCACAGTGATACTTTAAAGCACAGACATTCATTCATTCCCAGTTCATAAGGTAATGCGGCCACCTACCGCAAGTCATTTAACCACATCAAGCCTCTGTTTTCTCATTTCTAGAATAGGAACTAATGATAATACTTTCTTCTGAGAGTTTATGTGAGAAGAAAATGTGACAATAAAATACGTCTTTTCAGAAATCTTAACAGCATAGCTCCTTTCAAATATGCATGCAAATCTTGATGACCAAATCACTAAGTGATAGACATTGGCACATTAGAAGATATAATTCTAGCTGCCAGAAATTTCCAAAGACAATGAATGCTATTGGGCAGTTGTGATTGCTGCCACTGGGGAGCCTTAAGCATATGACCAATTGGATGAAATGTTGCATGAGAGATCTGAGTATTAGATGGGTACGTGGACTAATTTCAAGACCTCATTCTCTAATTCTATTATTTTTGCCTATTATTTATGCCTCACACCCTCTTCCTGGAAGAAGTTTCTATTTTACGTTTTTCCTAGAGTTAATGAAAAGAGAAACCAGCCGTGATTTGTACTTTCAGCCCAAATGCCCTGGAAAAGGCTGTGTGGAGCTGATTCTTCTGGAGTGCCCAGCCTATGAACTTGGAATATTCAAAAGAATCAGGTGACTCTGATCTCCTGCCAATCTGAATAGGTTACTTAACAGCTGAAAGTTCTTGATGGTACTGTTACTTCTGACCAGAAGATTCAAGTACCAAACCCAGGTCGATCCGACTGCAGAACGCTTGCCCTGCATTTCTACCCTGCACAGCTTTCCAGATGGGTTTGTCCACTAGCAGGCAAGAATGGCCCAGCTCAGCAACAGAGAAGGAAGATTTCTCAGCCAGCCAAATTAACTCAGTAAATAAATACTGGCCAATATTTACCAGGAACCCTGAGATTTCTACCTACATAAGCACAAAATGTAGTTGAGGTTCCTGGGCACTAGGCATGTTTAGATATGAGATATGCCTTCATGTTCTGTTTGTTTTTTTAAATGTCTTTTTATGTGCTGCTGATCTATATTAAAATATAGTAAAAAATATACTAATAAAATAAAATGTCCACACTGGAGGAATTTAACTAAATTTGAATACATTTAGACAGACTCCACATATGTACATACCAGTGAATGTAGAAACTTCTTGATGTCCAGTTCGTTATGAGATTCGGCACCGTGGTCCTGAGTGGTGGTTGTTCTGGGGCTGAGCAGGGCTGGGTTTGGCAAGGGAGTGAAATACTTCTTGACCACAATTTTAGTTCATAGAATTGATAAGCAATGAACATAAATAATGTCGTAAAGGTTATCCATTAGAAATAAAGGTAAATAGTCTGAATTCGACTAATAAACCCAAGAGCAAATGACTGAAAGAGGCAGCCAAGAAATAAAGCCAGAAGGGTTAGGAAAGAAGGGAGACTGACACCACAGGAAGTTTGATTCGGCTGGAAGAAATTTAATTCAGCTGGAGAACTATCCTTAGTGAATTTGATTCAGCTGGAGAAATTCTCTGGTCTTGCGTTAGACATTTACTATCATTTATTTTTCTTAAGCAGCGTTTGTGGTAGGCAACTACAGACTTCCCTGATACCTGGTTCACTTCTACTTCCAGTTAAAAAAAAATTAGCATTCCCCACCACTTCCCTTGCCCTCTTGCTTTCAGTAGTTAGGTAGGGCCACGAAACTAACTTCAGGCAATGAAATATGAGTAGTTGGTATGTATCTCTCTTCCAGGAAAGCTTTGTAATAATTGCTGGTGGTTGACTTTCCAACTTTTCTCTTCCTGTTTCAGGGAACACTGATAATGCATGTTGAAATTGTAGTGCCGTAAAGTGGTGTAGCATAAATACAGTCATGTGTCATTTAGTAACAGGATTCCTCCCCCAGAAATGTGTCCTTAGGTGAGTTCATCCTTGTGCAAACATCATAGAGTGTACTTACACAAACCTAGATGGTGAAGCCTACTAAACACCTAGGCCATGTGGCATTGCCTATTGCTCCTAGGCGGTACTGAATACTGTAGGTAATTGTAACACAGTGGTAAGTATTCATATATCTAAACATATCTAAACATAAAAAAAGGTACAGTAAAAATAGAGACTTACAATCTTATGCAACCACCATCATATATGCTATTCATCGTAGACTAAAACGTCATTATGTGGAACGTGACTATATATTGAGCAGAGCCTCCCACTGACCTGCAGTGGACAGACAGAGAGCATAAGGGATAAATAAACATTTGTTGTTCTAAGCCACTAAGATTTGAGGGTTGTTTGTTACCACAGCTAACCTGGTCTATCCTGTTAGGATGTTCACAGCCAATGGGGTGAGCACACCAGAGCTTATTAAAGGGGTTACAGCAAACGGACTGCAACAAACGTGCAACTTCATATTTCTCTCTTTCTCCAAAGCTATCATATAAGGTTTCATTTTTCTAGACATTTCCAGAAAGTAGCAAAATACTGGTGGAGAAATCAAAGATCAACTTATAAAGTATTTGGTTCTTTCATTTCATAATACATCAATCTGTATTACAGTACTTTATAACTAAATAGGCATTAAGCTGAGTTTTTGCAGGACAGAAAACAAAACTTATTTTTCTTCCAGGTGCCCCAGTGTCTACCACATAACTTTAAAAATAGCCTGCATTGGCCAGGCACAGTGACTCACACCTGTAATCCTAGCACTTTGGGAGGCCAAGGCGGGTGGATCGCCTGAGGTCAGGAGATCAAGACCAGCCTGGCCAACATGGTGAAACCCCATCTCTACTAAAAATATAAAATTAGCTGGGCCTAGTGGCACATGCCTATAATCTCAACTACTTGGGAGGCTGAGGCAGGAGAATAGCTTGAACTCAGGAGGTGGAGGTTGCAGTGAGCTGAGATCGTGCCATTGCACTCTAGCCTGGGCAACAAGAGTGAAACTCTGTCTAAAAAAATATAAAAAAATAAAAAAGAAGAAGATAAAAAAAAAAGCCTACATTTACTGAATAATTACTGACTAAAATACATGATACATCATTTGAAAAGTACTCTTTACTTCCCTCTAATAAATGTAATGCCACATATTTGAGGATTACTTCCAAGAATCATCTAGCCCAAGCAATGAGCACTTTAGATGCTTAAAAATTATTAGGAATTCAGAAGAGCACTTGTTTACAAGTTTTATGGCTATTTATATTTATTATGTAAGAAATGAAAACAGAAAATTTAGAAACACGTATTTATACCAGGTATATACCCAAAGGATTATAAATCATGCTGCTATAAAGACACATGTACACGTATGTTTATTGCGGCACTATTCACAATAGCAAAGACTTGGAACCAATCCAAATGTCCAACAATGATAGACTGGATTAAGAAAATGTGGCACATATACACCATGGAATACTATGCAGCCATAAAAATGATGAGTTCATGTCCTTTGTAGGGACATGGATGAAGCTGGAAACCATCATTCTCAGCAAACTATCGCAAGGACAAAAAACCAAACACCGCATGTTCTCACTCATAGGTGGGAATTGAACAATGAGAACACATGGACACAGGAAGGGGAACATCACACACCAGGGCGTTGTGGGGTTGGGGGAGGTGGGAGGGATAGCATTAGGAGATATACCTAATGTTAAATGATGAGTTAACAGGTGCAGCACACCAACATGGCACATGTATACATATGTAACTAACCTGCACGTAGTGCACATGTACCCTAAAACTTAAAGTATAATGAAAAAAAAAGAAATACGTATTTATTAGTTTATTTAAAGTAATAAAATAAATCCATTACATGTTAATGTAAATAACACTTTTTGATTTAAAAAACTACATTTTTCAAATCAAGAACATTTTTATTGAGAAGAATACCATTGCTTTACTTTTTCCAAAATCTCTTTAATGTCTGGCTTAATAGAAGACAGCTGGATTCTCTTATCTGATTCTGCATTCAGGTGGCTACAATATCCTACACTAGGTATCTTCAGAAAAACTCCACTGTATAGTTTTGAAAGCATGAGAGTAACAATGGCAAATGCTATCTTAGTGTTATTATGGATTTGTGCACCCCTGAAAGAGTCCTGGGGACTCTGAGGCGTCTCTCTCTTCTCTGAATGCTTTTGTGTCAGGAAACCTTATAACAGAGTTTACCACTTGACTATTATCCAGTTGTTTTGTGTATGTTACATGTGGATCCCAACCTAGATTGTAAATTCTATGCAGGCAGGAACAATGAGTGCTTACCAAATACAGAAAAGGACAAAGCCTGCTATAACCAAGGACCACAGAACAATGATATGGAACTACTAAGTCTTAAAGTGCTGTTATTTTTAAAACAAATATACCATAATATAAGTTTTTAAATATTATCTTTTTCAAGTCCTTCTCACCTCTAGAAAAAATGAAAATAATCAAATGGGTAGTTATCTTTGTAGTTAGTTTTTATACTTTACACAAATATGTCTGTATACAATATTTAGTATCAATGTTTCCCTTATATAAATTATGTTTTGTGTATCTTCTTTTTAACTCAGAATCATGATTTTGAGATCTATCCATATTGCTATTTATAAACCTAATAAATTTATTTAAATAGCCGTATGGTCTAATGTAAGTTCGTTTTTTTTTTTCATTTGTAATTTGGATTTTTTTTTCTTTTTTTAAATTTTATTATTATTATACTTTAAGTTTTAGGGTACATGTGCACAACGTGCAGGTTTGTCACATATTTGTTTACGTTATAATAATGCAAATTCAAATAGTTCCCAATTTGTCACACATGCCAATCAATGATGCTAAAATAAATATCTTTGTTCATGTTTCTTCAGTTATTTGTGCAATATTTGTTCTAACTTAAATTTTTTTAAATGAAATATCTGGGCCTTTGTATATGTACACTTTTTTGTTTAGCGAGATGTAATCCCCCAAAACTGTATGAGAGTGCCATTTGCCTTATACTTTATGTTGCCAGGTTTTATTTATGTTTTACTCTGCCCTTCTGAGCCTAGAACAGTGTCAGCGAATAGTAGGCCTTCAGCAAATACTTGTTACCTGTAGCAACTCTAGTCTGAGGCTGGGACATTTGAATATGGACACATTTTGCAAGCATAGACTCATGACCTCTTTGTCCTATGTGATCCTTGCAACAGACTAGCAGGCTGTCTCTCACGCAAACCCCACAGAGTATAAAATAAACCCAGAAGCCCATTTGGGTTTATTCCATTCCAAGAAGCACTTTGTGCTCCACATTCTGTAAGTACAGTAGTTCTGTACTTCTGTTCCTCTTTTGATTGTCCACATCCTTAGCCTCCAAGACAGCCATCCTGTCACCATGGAGGTCACCATTACCATAGCACTGAGACAAGTGCAGCTGAAATGCTTCATCCTGGACATAAGCTGCCAGAACTCTCTTCTGCAGACTTTACTGTGGGATGCATAGCTATGCAGTGAGAGACCACTGTCTGCATTCAATTACACTGCTGCAAAGCTAATGTGATTGTTTCAAGACCCTACAAA
Source organism: Homo sapiens (assembly GCF_000001405.40). Classification (NCBI taxonomy): domain Eukaryota; kingdom Metazoa; phylum Chordata; class Mammalia; order Primates; family Hominidae; genus Homo; species Homo sapiens. The sequence goes on from NC_000002.12 coordinate 228,845,760, forward strand.
TGTCCAGATGTCGACAATGAGCTCAAATGTGTTTCCCTTTTCCTATAAGCTGAGGAAAAATTTAAAAGTTGAGGGGGAGAGTGGTATCTCCTTGATACCTCAAATATGTGTTTTCTCATTTCAAGGGAGTTTTGGATGTGTGTTTAAGAAAATGTGATGATAGTACTGTCATAAGCCAGCTTGGCTTAAATACCCACGACAGAATAAGCTTGCAACCGTGCACACTTTATGGCAGAAAATGTGCATTAGGGATATAAATGAGCAGTGTTGAATGATATACACTAGGTATTCCTATTAATTAAGTGAAATTATGGGTCTATAATCACAAAGATTATAAGAAATCTTTGTGATTTTCTTATAAGATAAAACACATATATGCAGTAAAAGCCAATAAAACATAGCCACAAAGCATGTAGGACAATTGGAAAATACTGTTAAAAATCATTTAAAACATGAATATGGTCATATTCCACAGAAGAACTGAGGCATGAAGCATGAAAGTCATTTAACAAGACAGTTCAGTATACAGACCAGAACCCAGTTGCTCTGCCCAAACATAATCTTTGACTACGCCCCCACTTCTGTTTTTACAAACAGAATGTTCTGGTGCTCATTTCTGCTGAGCTCTAGCCTCTAGATCAAGTCCAGAAAAAACACAAAGTTCACAGAATTTGCAAGCTGACCCAACGATTTGCATATTATGAATAGTTTCTGATATTTCTCTCATAGCTACTTTCCTAGGATGTTTAGTGAATGAGACAATCTCTAGATTTCAGAAATTTCTAAATTAGGGCCTTATTTTTGTTTAAGTTTCAAATTTGTTTCTCCCGCATGATAGAAGTGGGTATGTTTATTTAGCCCTCTTTTCTCCAAATCTTCTGAAAATGCAGTGAGTTTTAAGTACCAGAATGTCAATTTTAGCTCTGTGCACATGGCATTCAAAGCACCAAAGCTAATAATGTTTGGTTTAATTATTATCCTAGAATACCTACAAATAATTTACCATTCTTTCTCAAAATAAAAATCTTTCAAGGAAAGCAGATCTGGGGTGGCTCCATGTTTAATTTCTTACTATTATGACGTGCAAGTATTTTGTATCCCAAATATATATTAATAGAGTGTGTAAAATATACAGTTCCTTTTGGAGCAAGAATTAGAGAAAGTGCCAAGTTTGGGTTTATGAACTTCATGAGTCCTTCGAGTTTTGCAGTAGGCATTTGTATGATGGTTAATATTGAGTGACATCTTGACTGGATTGCAGGATGCAAAGTATTGTTCCTGGGTGTTTCTGTGAGGGTATTGCCAAAGGCAATTAACATTTGAGTCAGTGGACTGGGAGAGGCAGACCCACCCCTAGTCTCGGTGGGCACTATCTAATCCACTGTCAGCTTGGCTAGAATAAAGCAGGCAGAGGAAGTTGGAAGGACTAGAATTGCTGAGTCTTCCGGCCTTCATCTTTCTCCCGTGCTGGATGCTTCCTGCCCTCGAACATCAAATTCCAAGTTCTTCAGCTTTTAATTCTTGGAGTTACACCAGTGATTTGCCAGGGGCTCTCATGCCTTCAACCACAGACTGAAGGCTACACTATCAGCTTCCCAACTTTTGAGGTTTTGGGACTCAGACTTGCTTCCTTGCTCCTCAGCTTACAGATGGCCTATTATGGGACTTCACTTTGTGATCACGTGAATCAATTCTCCTAATAAACTCTCTTCAAAAATACATATATCCTATTAGTTCTGTCCCTTTAGAGAACTCTGACTAATACAACTGGTAAGAATACACCTTTTGCCAGAGACTTATCACAAAGACAGATAATCTGGGTGTGTAACACAAAAACATTGATACGATAAAACACATGCCAAAAATGGAAAACTTGTTATAATGCAATAAATAAATTTTATTTAACAAAAGCAAACAAAAAATGAAAAGGAACAAATATAACCCCAAGCTGGTAAAACTCATTTTAAGCTCTCAAACACTTATTTGATATTATCTTTCCAAGAATAATGGAGCAGAAGTAATCACATTCCTTTTCCTTTACATACTTTTGCTCAGAGAAACCAGATGCAGAATGCAACTTTGCCTCCCTGCCAAACTGTCAAGTTTGTTTAATATTTAAGTTTCATATGACATAAATGAAAGAAGCAAAAGTATTGTTAGTGCTGAGAGTTCTGAATTTGAGTCATTTTTAACTGATCACTGTATGTTCTGAAAATAGAAATGAATCTCCATCTTCCCCAGCTCGTTTGAGTGTTTCCTACTACAATTCCAGTGGTGATAAAAAGTGGAGTGGTCTTGTAAGTATGGGCCTGCATCCATGATTTATGTAAATTGCAAGTGGTGAAGTTTTTCACGATTGAAACATATTCATGTATTTTGGAAGAATGTTTTTCATGAATAAACATTGAAAAGCTTTCAAAAAGATGAAAAAAGATGGATCGTTCATCAATTTGAATTAGATTGATCTTGTTCGTATCAATCATGGTTTTAGTCAAAAATCATGCTATCTAAGATTTATTAAGTATTTCCTTATTTACTCTTTGCTAGGCACTGATCTAATCTCCTTATCTACATGTATTCATTTAATCTTTACAACGCTTTGATGTAAATACTATTTTCATCTTCATTTTAAAGAGAAAGAAACTAAGGCACAGAGAAATTAAGTAACTTGACTGATTTCATGTGAATCATGAATTGAGTAACCTTTTCATCTCCCTTCCTCCCGAGATCCACTAAAATGGTAGTGAAAAGCTGTATTATTTAGAAATAATAATTATCGTTTGTTTGCAATGATAAATTATTTTATGAACAAATAATACAGGTTTGTATTATTTACAAATATCATGTCCTGCCATGAGCATGCTTTCCTCTAAATGGACTATATCAAACTGCCATGTTGACTTTGGACTTGGCCATGTGACTTTCTTTGGCCTATAGGACATGGGTGAAAGTTTTAATGCCAAGTTCCAAGCAGAAACTTTAAATGGGTTTGTGTGGTTTGACACTATCGCTCCTGTGTTCCTGTTCTCTGCTCTAAGAAGAGCACGTCCGAGGCAGGAGCTGATCCTTCACCCTTGAAGCCACAATGAGAAGACATAAGGAGGCAGCCAAGCCCAGCATTGTCAAGCAGGGCAGCCGCTGACCCAGAGCCCTCACACAACGTAAGTGGGAAATAAATCTACTTTGTAAGCCACTGAGTTAATGTGGTTGGTGGTTACAGCAGCAAAAACAAACTGAAAAACAACAATAAAGGAAAAAAATTGCTATAAATTCACAATAATAAAAAGAGCCACAGACAGGCTGTCTGAGGTTAAAAAGACTCAAAACCTTCTGAAGGATAGAAAGTTCTTGGAGGAGTACTGACTGGAACAGTTTAAGTGAAACCACAGCTTAAGAAACATACAGGGATGCTGCCACTAGGTTGGGAGGAACCTAGGTTAGATCTTGGACCTAGAAAACTGTAAGCTCAAAACTTATGAAGCAACTAATTTCACCTTCCAGTCATCATGTTACACCTACATTACCTGGTTAAGAAGCCTCACTTAGTGCACGATGCCCATGTTTCTTTATTGCCCCATTGTCATCTACCAGGAGATACTAAGCTTTTGATTAAAACCTGCAAGAGAAGCAAGACAAAGACCAATATTATCATGGATAAAACATATCTTTGGAAGAGAAGGAGATATTCATAAACACAAAAATATTTTAAAATATTTCAAATTACTATTCTCTAGAGCTATTTGAGAAGAGACTACATAAATAGAAATAAGAAAGCAAAAGAGTGTCAAGGAAAAAGAAAAATCAGAAACTAAGAAAGAGGTCTTGGAAATTCAAAATATTGTTCCCAGCATTGGGGATACTGAGTTTGATTACTTGATTACTCTGGAAACAATGGATATATCCATTAAGAAGGTTTGTCTTTTGTAATGTAATTGAGAAATAACTCATGGGTGGTACTTCGAGACTGTGAATAGCGGGCTTTGTTTCACAGCCACCTTTCATTCAGTCAACACTAGCATTTGTTGACAAAACTTACCTTCCAGTCGTCACATTGAGAGTAGTGAAATGATATTTTCAAATGTCTTTCCTTTTACATTTATTGTCTGACATTGTGTCTCTATCTTTCTTCGGGTATCATTAAAGATTCATGGGTCTTTATGAACTTTTAATCAATGTCTTGTTATCCACTGTTACCATCTTTGTTGTAGATACACAAATGTGTATCTTAAATGTGGCCTCTTGGAGCCCCTACAAACTGGCTGCTATGCATTATGTGTCTTAAGATTGTGAGAACAGCTACGTATATACCATATATACCTATATATTAACATATTTAATTATGTGAAGTCAATTACTACTATAATTGTTGCCTTTATTTTGCAAATGATTAAATTAATAAATGAAAAATGAAATTGGTAGTCCAAGGTCACACAGCTAGTTTCTGGTACAGCTGTATTTTAACTTAGGCAGCTTGACTTTTAACCAGACAATGCACGTATAAAGGCATTATACTGAAAGACCTGTAGAACATAGCAGAATGCATTAAGAAATACAGTGAAGATCAATTATAAATCCAGGGAAAAATAAAATGAAATGTAAACATAGTATATTATTTGGTTCTATAGCAAGTGACGCATTATGATCATCATAATTAAAATACCATTTATGAAATTTCAAGTTTTTAAATCAAGCTAATAGACATAGCATAAAAGGCTTAAAGGTGTTTAACAGGATATAAACTTGATCACCCTTGGCAATTTAAAAGTAAAATACAGGCCAGTCACAGTGGTTCACGCCTATAATCCCAGCACTTTCAGAGGCTGAAGTCTGAGTATTGCTTGAGGCCATGAGTTTGAGACCATCCTGGGCAACACAGTGAAACCATGTACCTACAAAAAAATAAAAAATAAAAAATTAGCCAGGTGTGGTGGTGCCACCTATAATCCCAGCTACTCAGGAGGCTGAGATGGGAGAATTCCTTGAGCCCAGGAGTTTGAGGCTACAGTGAGCTATTATCACCACTGCACTGTATAATCACCACTGCACTGCAGCCTGGGCCAGAGTGAGACTATGTCTCCAAAAAAAAAAAAAAAAAAAAAAAGCGAAATGCAGACAGAGGATTTAGAAGAATTTAAAAGAAGTTCAAGGATGTTAACAGTTGTCATCTTATAAAGTGAAGTGTCTGGGGAAAATCTTAGTGGAACAGGAAATAAAGACATAATATCAAGATATAATTATTGTTCTGGGTTGAATTGTGTCACCTCCCAAAACATATGCTAGAGTCCTAGCCCCCAGTACCTTGGAATATGACCTTCTTTGGAGACAGGGTCTTTGTAGGGGTAATCAGGTTAAAATGAGGCCATTCAGGGGAAGGGGTTGGGCAATACAAACCCGTGCCTTTATAAGAGAGGGAAAGTAGGACACAGATGCATGCACGGAGGGAAGATGCTGGAGTAGATGGTAATCTGTAAGCCAAAGAGAGAGAGGCCTGGGGCAGATCTTTCTCTTAGAGCCCTCAGAAGGAAATAACCCTCCTTGATACCTTGATTCTGGGCTTCTGGTCCTCAGAACTCTAAGACAATAATTTTTTTCCTGCTGAAGCCACCCAATTTGTAGAACTTTGTTATGGCAGCCCTAGAAAACTAATACAAGTATATTTCTTAATGTTACAAATCTATCAAATAGAGAACCAGGGAATAGTGGTATTTCTAAATTGGGAAAAGGAGGAAGTGCTACATTTACTCAATCATCTTTTATCAAAGCAGGAACCCAGGAGATAACATCTAAAATTAATAAATAAACACACAGTATTAAATGCGAGATGGGACTTTCTGAATTATTAGAAACAGATTCAATTAATTTCCTCTGGAGACAGGACTGGAGGGGGGAAAGAATGAGGCAGCTTGTCAATGAAAGTTTTTTTCTATTAACAGATTTTTAAATCATAGCATATATTACTTTGGCTAATTTTTTAAATGGATTAAAAACAACATTCATTTCAGGGTTTTGGAAGGTCAACATTTTAGATCAAAACCTGTATAATCAACTATCAGTTTTTGTAAAACAGATCTCTTTGCCATGTGCAAATGTAAGTTATAGCTTTCAGTTGATTCCAGCTGAAACCTCTCAGAGAGTCAGCAAATTAAAGATTGCCCCTAATTCAGGGGCAAATTCCAGGCAAGTGAGGCCCTGTAAATCCCATAGATCTTTAAAATGAATAGTTAGAAATATTGTTGACTGTTTTTGATGTTTAATTGTAAAAAGAGCAGAAATAGTGTCAAGCTTGCAATATGCTGATGCTATTAAGACAGAAGAAAATAAAACAACCTTGGGAGGCTTGCATGGGGCGTGAGGTGTACTATTATATAAGGTAAGGTGACAGGAGGAGCTAGCTTCATTTTATTCCACTCTATAATTTAATCATATGTGATTGGAGTTCCCATCCACAGTAGGAATACAGTCTGAAGGATTAATGGGGTCAACGTTCAAAGATAAATGGAGTCATGTCAAAAGGACACAGGAGCTCCCACTGGCCAAATGGGGGAATATACGGGCATCAAGTAGAATGACAGTGATAGATTACAACACACATAATTTTGAAAACCCATGAGTGCATTGTTATAATCAGAACAAAGGGAGGGTAGAAAGAGAAAAAGAAAAGAATGTTCTTCTTTACAGAATAATATTAAAAGGTTTATCTTGTTTTTAAATAGAAGAATGTGAAAAGGATTGCCTTCTCTTAAATAGGAAAACAACAATTATAAATATATCAATTCTTCAAATCCTTATTATGTCAATCTATGAAGAGAATGTAATTAAATACAAATAACAAATTAAATACATAAGGGATTTAGCAACACGATATTGACATTTATCTAGAAAAATAAGCTGGTAAGAATTACCAAAAAATTATAAGTGAGAGAGAGGGAGGTACATAGTTAGTACTATGTAGTAACTATTATTCAAACAGATTAGAAAACTGCAGAAATTAAAATTTAGATAGTTTTACAGAAATACACAGAACCATCAATGAAGCAAAATTGAGTACAGAAGTGCATCTGGGATGTTGTGCATGTTTAAGTTTGCATTTAAAAATCAATGGAGGAAATAGATTGTTAAATAAGAGAAGCTGGAACAATGTCTAGCTATTTAGGACTAAAGGATGAGCAAGAGAAGGAGGAGGAGGAAGAGGAGGAGGAGGAGCAACATGAGCAGCAGCTGGATTTGTTACCTCATGTCTTATTTCCAAATACACTCTAAATTATTCTAAGATTTAAACTTATAAAATATAACTAAATAACCCATAAAAATAGTGGGGAAAAGTATCAATATATATCTTAAAATATTGAGTGGAGAAATGTACTAACCAGACTTCTTATTTTCAAGGAATAATAATAATAAAAAACTGGTCATCCAAAGTTGTAAAATAATGTATGAAAACACAGAGACTCATTGGGTGAGCTAGAAAAGCAGGCTTGGAAAATGAGCAGGAACAAAGGAAGACTAGGCAGACAAAGCACCGCCACATTCATGCCACAGAACCAGCCCGTGAGTCACAATTGCTATCACCCCGAGCCAGGAATGTCTTCATCACCTTGCTGTAGGCACTGGTCATGGACTCTCGTCCTATCAGCACCATTGCCACCAGTGATCCCACGTTAAGAATGTTGCTGCCGCTGCTGCTCCCGCAGGTCTGTGTGTTTACTTCACTGGCTTCTAATGCAAAGTTCTGGGTGGGAGACTCAAATGGACTGAATCTAGATCATATACCAACCAGCACTCTGGCTGCAAGGGAAGCTGAAAAAGCAAGTATCTAGTCCTTAGATCTTCAGATTAGGAAGTGGACTCTTAGCTGGGCCTGTCAATGGAGTTTTATGGTCAGTAATTATCAAGCATAAGAAGGGGGTTCAGCATGAAGGGTTGTCCAATTTAAAGCCTTTGACAAAATTCAACAACTCTTCATGCTAAAAACTCTCAATAAATTAGGTATTGATGGGACGTATTTCAAAATAATAAGAGCTATCTATGACAAACCCACAGCCAATATCATACTGAATGGGCAAAAACTGGAAGCATTCCCTTTGAAAACTGGCACAAGACAGGGATGCCCTCTCTCACCACTCCTATTCAACATAGTGTTGCAAGTTCTGGCCAGGGCAATTAGGCAGGAGAAGGAAAAAAAGGGTATTCAATTAGGAAAAGAGGAAGTCAAATTGTCCCTGTTTGCAGACGACGTGATTGTATATCTAGAAAACCCCATTGTCTCAGGCCAAAATCTCCTTAAGCTGATAAGCAACTTCAGCAAAGTCTCAGGATACAAAATCAATGTACAAAAATCACAAGCATTCTTATACACCAGCAATAGACAAACAGAGAGCCAAATCATGAGTGATTTCCCATTCACAATTGCTTCAAACAGAATAAAATACCTAGGAATCCAACTTACAAGGGATGTGAAGGACCTCTTCAAGGAGAACTACAAACCACTGCTCAAGGAAATAAAAGAGCATACAAACAAATGGAAGAACATTCCATGCTCATGGGTAGGAAGAATCAATATCGTGAAAATGGCCATACTCCCCAAGGTAGTTTACAGATTCAATGCCATCCCCATCAAGCTACCAATGCCTTTCTTCACAGAATTGGAAAAAACTACTTTAAAGTTCATATGGAACCAAAAATGAGCCCGCATCACCAAGGCAATCCTAAGCCAAAAGAACAAAGCTGGAGGCATCACACTACCTGACTTCAAACTATACTACAAGGCTACAGTAACCAAAACAGCATGGTACTGGTACCAAAACAGAGATATAGATCAATGGAACAGAACAGAGCCCTCAGAAATAATGCTGCATATCTACAACTCTCTGATCTTTGACAAACCTGAGAAAAACAAGCAATGGGGAAAGGATTCCCTATTTAATAAATGGTGCTGGGAAAACTGGCTAGCCATATGGAGAAAGCTGAAACTGGATCCCTTCCTTACACCTTATACAAAAATCAATTCAAGATGGATTAAAGACTTAAACGTTAGACCTCAAACCATAAAAACCCTAGAAGAAAACCTAGGCATTACCATTCAGGACATAGGCATGGGCAAGGACTTCATGTCTAAAACACCAAAAGCAATGGCAACAAAAGCCAAAATTGACAAATGGGATCTAATGAAACTAAAGAGCTTCTGCACAGCAAAAGAAACTACCATCAGAGTGAACAGGCAACCTACAGAATGGGAGAAAATTTTCACAACCTACTCATCTGACAAAGGGCTAATATCCAGAATCTACAATGAACTCAAACAAATTTACAGGAAAAAAACAAACAACCCCATCAAAAAGTGGGCGAAGGACATGAACAGACACTTCTCAAAAGAAGACATTTATGCAGCCAAAAAACACATGAAAAAATGCTCATCATCACTGGCCATCAGAGAAATGCAAATCAAAACCACAATGAGATACCATCTCACACCAGTTAGAATGGCAATCATTAAAAAGTCAGGAAACAACAGGTGCTGGAGAGGATGTGGAGAAATAGGAACACTTTTACACTGTTGGTGGGACGGTAAACTAGTTCAACCATTGTGGAAGTCAGTGTGGCGATTCCTCAGGGATCTAGAACTAGAAATACCATTTGACCCAGCCATCCCATTACTGGGTATATACCCAAAGGACTATAAATCATGCTGCTATAAAGACATATGCACACGTATGTTTATTGCGGCATTATTCACAATAGCAAAGACTTGGAACCAACCCAAATGTCCAACAATGATAGACTGGATTAAGAAAATGTGGCACATATACACCATGGAATACTATGCAGCCATAAAAAATGATGAGTTCATGTCCTTTGTAGGGACATGGATGAAATTGGAAAACATCATTCTCAGTAAACTATCGCAAGAACAAAAAACCAAACACCGCATATTCTCACTCATAGGTGGGAATTGAACAATGAGATCACATGGACACAGGAAGGGGAATATCACACTCTGGGGACAGTTGTGGGGTGGGGGGAGGGGGGAGGGATAGCATTGGGAGATATACCTAATGCTAGATGACAAGTTAGTGGGTGCAGTGCACCAGCATGGCACATGTATACATATGTAACTAACCTGCACAATGTGCACATGTACCCTAAAACTTAAAGTATAATTAAAAAAAAAAAGGGGGTTCAGATTCTGGGTAGTCCCTGAACTACAAGTATCTGTACAAGAAGTACGCAAAGCCCATAGCCACATAGGAAAAGATTATTTCATTTATATAAGAAATGTTTAAAGTTGTGGGGGGGAATCAAAATTAAAAAAGAAAGTGCATGCAAGAGCTCTTTCTAACACACATAAAAAGTACATATATTTATATAATACAGGAATCAATCCTACAAATGTGTAATTGCCTGTGTATGTATACACATGCCTCCAACAGAAAAGTGGGCAAAGCAGATATTTCAGAAAAATAAATATAAATGACCGCTCAAGATAAGAATAGAAAAAATGATATCTTCTAATTCAAGAAATGCAGGTTAAAATTAGATTTTTTTTTTTTTTTTAGTAGAGATGTGGTCTTGCTCAGGATGACTTCCTCGCTTCAAGAGATCCTCCAGCCTTGGCCTTCTAAAGTGCTGGGATTACAGGCATGTGCTACTGTGCCTGGCCCAGATTTAAATTTTTTACTAAAATTAAGAATGGCAAAGGATAGAGGGAAATAATGTCTCCACATAGCAGCTGCTTAAAATGGGTGAATATGTAATATGTAAATACTATACCAATAAGGTTGATTTCTATGAAGTTGCTTCTTAAAAAATGCTTGAAACACTCTAGTGTCTTCTTGATCCTCAATCCAATTCTCCTTGCAGGGTCTGTGATTTTTCTTGTGGAAAATCACAAGCTCTGGCTCGCACAGCACTCCAGCCTCACATCATACCACCTTCCATTCCACCCATTTTGTTGGATACTTTCACACTTGCCACCTTTTCTTCCAGCACTAATATGTGTCATCATCTGTGCAACTTTAAAAAAAAATCATTAAATAACAGAATGGCCAAAATTTGGGCAGAACAGGTATACATGAGTAACGGTAATGGACGTAGCTTCTTCTGCTGCTGGTTAAGCTATTGTCAGTGACAAAGTCAGATCGATCCTCCCGTCTCCAGCACCCATCCTACAATACACCTGCTGTAAAACAAGAGTGGGAAGGGATTTTAGAGATACAAGCACAGTGTTCACGCACAAACCCATTGTTTGGAGCAGCACTTCGCAGAGTATGTTGCCCCCAAATATGAGGCTTCTAAAGTGTTCCACAAGGAGAATGTTTATGAGATAAAAGTTCTGAGAAAATTTCATATCTTCTCTTTGGAAATTCACAGTAGCACATTTGACAACTTGCCTCATAACAGCCTGTTTATCTGCACTTAAAATAGTATTGTCTAACAGTACCTAACTATGCAGACTTTTAAAATAATGCATAATGCCCCATGACAATAATGAATTAGAGGAATATGAGAAACATTGTTCTCCCCCTTCTCTGAGAACCTCTTTCAACGGCTGTAATGGCATTATAAGAGCCACTTTTGGAGTTAATAGTGAATGTGCCTGGTTTCTTGACTCATCAATTCATGCATTTACTAGGACAGCATCACTGCGTTTTTAGAAGGTCATATTCCAGCAGAAGAGGAAAACATATATAAAACTAGCAATACACAATGAATGTCTGTAAAATAAGTGCATACAAGGAATTCTAGAAGCACAGGGGAGGGAGAAATTAACTCCACTGAACTTGAAGGAGCTGGTTGAGTGAAGCAAGTGGAACAATCTTCACAATTACAGAAGAGCTCAATTATAGTTGACTTTAAGGATAGTCAAGAATGGCACAGAAGGAAAAGCCATCCCAAGCATATGAAATAGAATGTACAAAAACATAGAGAAGTATCAAGAGATGTGACCCAAGGTTGTGAGATAAAGAATTAAGAGAGAATTTGCATGGCTTCCAAAGGTACTGAAAAGAACAATCCAGGTCAAGTTGTCTAGGGAATAGTTTAGCCTCTAGACAAGTAGCTCTCAAGTTGGAATATGCATGAGAATCATCTGAATAACTTGTTAAAATACAGATTTTCTGGGTCCTAATATATAGATCCAGACTAGGTCTGGTGTAGGGCCTGAGAAATTGCATTTCCAAAGAGATGCTGATGCTCCTGGTCTGGGACCTCATTTTGAGAACTACTGCTGTATGCATTTGCAATGCTCTAAAAAATGGTACTCCAGGGGGTAAGACAGAAAGACTTGGGTTTTTGAAAGGTCACTCTTGTGGTAGATTGTGTGAAGGATGCAATAATTGTAGTAAGTAAAGAGAAGAATTTCAATGCTTTTGACAATGGTCCAAATGAGAAATAATTAGGATCTGAACTGGGTCTGTTCTTTAGTGGGGGTATAACAGAGGATATGTTTTTGATACATATGGGAGGGAATACAGCTATGGAGGCCATGATGATCATCTTGACATGACAGTGAGAGAAAGAATGAAGTGGAAAATAACCCCAGTTTTCTAGGTTCCCATGTCTGGGTGAATTCTATCACCCTTAACCAGAAGAGATAAAGTAACTGATGATATAGATAGATGGATGAATAGATAGACAGACAGATAGATAGACAGACAGATAGATAGATAGATGATAGATAGATAGATAGATAGATAGATAGATAGATAGATAGATAGATCGTACATACATACAAGATAAATGGATGGCTGAATAGACAGATATTGATAGTCAGATATAATGAAGAGACACTAAAAGTTTAGCTGTGCATATTTTGAGCTTAGGGTATTTTTGGATTAATCCCTACTTGACTGTGATATTATTTGAGTCAGTCTGTCTAGGTTTTTGGCATCAAAGGATCAAAGTATTGTGAATTACAAATTGTGTATGCTCCATGAATGACCTGGAAAATCAGCTTTAAGTTGAATAACTGGAATAATTTGAATCCTTACCTATACTACACCCATAGAAGACAGCTCTCATTATCTCTGCTAAGCCCTAACAGAGCCTCAGATTCTTCTCCAGCCAGCCCTCCAGAGGCACCCTCTGTTTAGAGCTGGTAGATAATTGAAAATCATTTGCCAAACTTGATCTATAGTCAAACTCCATTTGCCTCATAAAGTTATCCCCTGAGTAGTGTCTTCATATAATTTGTCATTCAATCTAGGACATTGCAAAAATGAAATGTGACACTATTAAGAATATACTAGAACAAAAGGAATGAATCAGGGCTCTCACAAGCAAATGAGAATATAAGATCATCCAACCTCTGAACACCAAGAAATTATAATTGTAACACAATCATGTATAACGTCAGTGGTGAATTCCCTTTCTGCTCCCTATATTACAAGTTGTTTCCCTCTCTCTCCCATTCATCCTATCTCTCTACTCAACTTCACCTTTATTCTGGCAGACAAAGTACACACGCATGGATTGCTATGTAGACCATTCACAAGTAAGAATGAAAACCACTACATCTGGTAAAGACCCATCTGGCCACGTGAAATCAGCAAACAGTAATTTCTCTCTCACCACTGGAATAGTTGCTATAAGACGGACTGCAAGAGAGGACTAGAAGAACATGTGAAGAAGAGTGAGACCACCACGCTGGTCCTCTACTTGATGATGAACGGATTGTGGGGAGGCAACTGAGGGAATCTCCCTTGATCTTTTGGGAAATATGCCCTCATCAAGACTGAAAATCAGATGTGTCCCAGATCAAGCCAGAGAGACTACCATAAGCACAGGCAGCTGCACCATGCCAGCACGGGTCGCACAGAGCTGGCAGTTGAATGCAGACTAAAGTAGACTAGAAAAAAATATGTACTTGAAATTGAATTTTTACATGAGACTATGTTCTAAAGGTTTTCCACTGCTGAACAAGAATAAGTGCTTGTAAAGGAATTGAGATTTATGAGCAAAAAAAAAAAAAGTTTATTCCTACACACTTCTGACTCATGGCTGTGCTTTAATCCTGTGACTTTTCCCCCATTCTCATTTGGCCCTTTCCATGATTGCTTCTTACTGGGGTTAGTGTCGTTTTACCTCCTGAAAACAGGATAAGGCCTTATATTTTTTTTCACACTCTGTGCTTATTGCAATGCCTTACAGATGGCTTGTTCCCAACATGTATCTATCTACTAAATGCATGAGAAAAAGACTATATAACAAGAGTAGAAAGTCTTCTCCAAAGTACATGTTTATACAAGAATTGATTCAAAGCCTGGGATTCATGTTTCCATTCACTGCCAGGACTTGGATAGTTGAACTGACTGAAGAGATTTTTGTCTCTCTTCCTCACTACACTATTTATGTACACAGAACACTGCTCCTCAATAACAACATCAACAACAACGAAGATTACTTCTCCTAACTGTTCTGAAGTTGAACATATGAGTAGATTCATTTTCCTCTAGAACCTCAAAAGCCATTATATATTTTTAAAACAAATACAATGTAGTGTTAGAGCAAGCCTTCTATATAAAGTTTGGTTAAATAGGCATCTCCTCAGATATTTAGAATTTTGATTTATTGAGGAATACCAAAAATGTTGGTTACCATAACCATACATGAGTGCCTTCTCTGTAATCTGTTGATGAATCAAGATCAGGTCCTCATGATTAACCAGCCAGATGAGGCTTGCTGCAAGCCAAATTGTGTTTGGCCTTAATAATAGATCATTATAATTTGGTAAAAAAAAGTCTGATAATTTAAAAGAGCTAACCATCACCAGCAAACACACAAGACCTTAGTACACAATCTTTTTTCCAAAACATCAGATTGAGAAGATGATAAATATAGAGCATAAAATACCAAATACTTTATCATGTATCTCAGATGTGTATCACATACAAACAGTCCACAGAAACAATTCACAGAAAGCATTCTTAGTGGTCAGAATTAGTAACAGAACTTTCAAAAAATACTTTTAAAATACATTAGAAACAAAGAAATTCCAAAGAGAGTCCAAATATCAATCTATTCCAGCTGTTTTTATGTTGATGGCTAACATCTCAATAGTAGTGAGTGGTGGGGGTTACAACTAAGATTCTGAAATCTGATTTGTATTGTCTATCAAGTCCTTCCTTTGCCTTGTGGCACCATTCCAGACAAGTCGGTCATCTCTCATGAGTTTTCTTATTATTTAAGGATTTCTGATGTTCATTAGTGTCTTGACAATGTTAGAACGACAGGAAAGTTTTTCACAGCCTTGCAGATGAGCCCTTCTCCTGTCTTACATGTTGGCCGTTCCATACATGACTTTTATTGGACACCCAGTTTAATGAATCTTGAACTGTTAGAACAGGAAGATAAGGAAAAGTTTGGAGATAAGGGAGTCCAGGACAGTCACGTCACAGACTGCATTTAGAATTCTCATACTCAAAAGCAAGAAGCAAACTGATCACATTATTGTAGAGTCAGCGTCTGAAGGGAAAACCAAGTTCCCTAACACTTGGAGTTTTGTTCTTTCCAAATACATTCTTGTGCCTCCTTGCATTGATGTAAATCATATTCAAATTATGTTGGAACAGGAATATAAGTTGTTCACTCATTTTATCTGTCTAGGAGAGTAACAGACTTAGAGTCAGTTGGCCATAGCCTGGAATCTTAGACAATCATTTAAGCTTGCTGAATCTCAGTATATTCCCTTATAAAGTAGTTTATGCGTTTATAAAGTAGTTATAAAAGTGCTTAATGTTGTGAAATGGTTAGTGTATGGAAAAACCAAACATTGACTAAAATACAATAGGAAAGGCAGATTTTATTCATTTTTATATAAGGTTATTAGTTATTCTCTCTCTCTCTCCTGTCTCTCTCATCATTTCTTCCTGCCACCAAGACTATTCTCTATATTTACCCAAATCCTCTCTTCAGTCAGGATCCAAAACTGCATTAGTGCCATAAATGTTTTTTTACCTTTATAGTTTAAATTACAGGTTGTAAGTTAAGTCCTGCAATTTATCCAGTCAAAATTTTCTTTGATAACTTCCTTCACACCTCCTCCATTAGTTCAATGGTGGTGACCATTTAATACCAGCAGCCGAGTGCAAAGGGATTAAGGTAAAAAATTTGGATAAATATGTCAAAATAGATCATTAAACAGATGTGAATCCAGAGTTAGAGTACAACCCAGAGATGACCAGACAGATAGAATGATGGACTCATGAAGTGGCGGGGCAGGAGGGTAAATGGGAGGGTCACCTGCTGAATTCCAGAGAAAGAGAGCGCATTGCAAGTATGGATAACCTCCACTTAAATGGCCAAGGCCAAAGCTGAGCAAATGGAAAATTTTTTAAGGTAGGAGCTCTGTGTATCTTGTTAACCTTGCCCACAGTATGTATTCACAAAGGTAAGTTGAGCTAAATATGAGAACTACTTGGTATATTGGATTCATGAGAGCTCTGCTTTCTAAGCTGCTACTGCCTTTTTTCCATTCCTTTATTCATGCATTCAATAAGCATTCATTATGTTGTTCCAGCATATCATTTGAAGGACTAAAAATAGTGGGGGTGAAACATGAGGCAACAGAGATTCCTTTCTTCCTAACCTTATTTTTAAGGGATTTATTACATTTCTGTTTCTAATTTTTATGCATGCCTTGAGTTGTCAAAAAAGATGATCTTGCGGTTGCCTGTGGACATGCCCTGCTGGCTTATTTATAAGGATAGGATTCCAGGTATGAGGTGCAGTGAGAACCACAAAATCTAGGGACAGAGAAACTTATGCTGTAGCCCCCAAGTCCTAGGACAATCTAGGACAAATCCTAGCTGACTTACCATTTCAAAAGTGTAGCCTCCTGAAGCCTTATTGACATGATGAAATACATCTGGAGTTGTCATGTTTTCTGAGCCCCTGGGGAGAAATGTGTGGGAAAAAGCATAATGCAGGACATTCTCCCAGAAACTAATGTGTACTTCAGTAGTTGAAGACATAGACACCTGTGGTATTTTTCTTTTTCTTGAAGAGCATTTGTTGACCCCTGCCCATAGGACTTAGCTCTTCAACGGACTTGAATGATTCCCTCCCAATCCCATGGCTGTTTTCTTTTTTAAAAGAACAACATAAACTTCAATTTCTGGTAGATGATTGCATTCTGTAGTGATCTCATGCTCACCTAAACTCTTAGAGATTTTCTTTTATTTTTCAAAATGACAGTAATGTCTATTGAATGCTGGCTATGAGGTATTTTATTTTATATTCTACATGCGTTAACTGTTCTCATCCTTATAACCACTCTATGAGGTAGATATCACTATTATCTTTATTTTGCAAATGGGGAAACTGGCTCCAGACCCAACACTGTCGGCCACTACATGCTTCACTCCCTCTTGCTGGAAAAAAAAATTAAGAAAAACCCTACTAATGTGCAGACCAAATACTCCTCGTGTTAATAATATAAACAATTGCCTTTCATTTTGGGGAACTGTTTTTTTTTTCTATTTGTATATGGTCAGGTCACAAATTCACCCATGAAACATTTAGCATTTAAAAGAAAATGTAGCTTTGTTTATTTCATATAATTTACCCTACCTTTTTCACAAGTCCCCATTCACTGAATAATAAAAACAGTCATACTTGCCAATAGGTACTATCTCAATCTTCTAGCATAACCAGTCTTTCCAATTCTGTTCAGTCTAAAGCAGTCTTATTTGTCTCTATCTTCTTTTCCTGTCTTTTCCAGATAATGTTGGCTCTGTGGGGGAGGTGGGTCTGACATTACATGCAGTGGAGAATGGGAGGTAGAAATGACTCCTGTTCCCTTCAGCCTTCTCTGGAGCCTTACTGGTGGGTGATGTGCAGTAGCTTAGTCTAGTTTGCTCTCTTGAATGGTAAACACTTCGGGGTAACTGCTCTGAGCTGGCCTTAAAGTTTGTTTGTTTGGGCTTCCAATGCTAGATTCTGTGGTCTTGGCCAATTGATTTTCCGCTTGCAAATTCCCACAAATTGAACCTTCTTTGTCCTGAGCCTCACTTCCTAGGCTTCTAGGAAGCCTCACTTCCTAGAAACCTAGAGCTTCTTGAAAGCCTCACTTCCTAGAAACCTAGAGCTTCTCTCTAGCTTTCTGCACTTCCCCACTGAGCAATCACTACATTTTAAATTCCATGATTTTCCTGCATACGCCATGGAAAAGTCAGCAGCCCCATCTCAGCCTGATAGTCAATCATCTCCTGCTGCTAACCCTGCATTAATATTTCCATGCCATGCTGCACATGGCCATGTGAGGGCTTCTCACAAGGCATTAATTAGTGTGTAGTTTTATAATCTGAACTTTATGCCCTACTTCTGTCCCACTTACAATATCCCTAAGAAAGGGAGTGAACTTTCTCCCTTTGCCTCCTGTCTGATTGACTTTTCTATGGTACATAGGGTTCAGAGAGAGAAAACAGCATACCCTCAGGGAACATAAATTGGGAGATATTTTGAATGCAAAACTGAAATCACAGTACAGCACATACCCTCTCTAGCACTCATCATTATAATGGATTATACTTCCTGGAATTCACTGAGCACAGAATCAGGACACGGATTTATTGCATAGGATTTGTGAAGTGATCCCATTATTCGGAATTCAAGATAGGAAGTATTTTAGGCTTTTCTTTTAGTCATTTCCTTTAACTTCATCACTAGAATTCCATATCAGCAATGTTAATTCTACACTAAAAAGTTCAGCATAGAGCTGATCATACTGTGTAGACGTGATCCTTAATTTAAAATGTAGGCTTGGATAGCCTTTGTGGAAAAAATAAGAGCAACAAGGATAAAACAAATTACCTATGACCCAAGAAAATATTTCCTGGCAAAAAAAAATTTTTAAAAAGGGAGGGATTGTAAAATTTCCAAAAGATGCCTTTGAGACAGTTATCTAGTCTAATCTGGGCTAAGAATGACGCAAAGGAAATTGTGGGTAGAAGTAAGGAAATTGTGCTCCCTATGCAAAACTTGTGATGGAAAACCTCAAGGACCCAATTACCATGATATAACGGTATTGCCACAAATAGCATAGGCCAGGCATAACAGTTTTGGTAGTGATGTATAGTATCTGACCATCACCAATGACATGCATTAAATAGTGAAAGGATACCAATAAAGTTTTTTACAGCTGCAGGCCAACATAAATTTTTAACTCTGCTAAACTTTTTTCTAAAAATAAAGCAAAATATACATTTTAAAAAAAACCTCAATGCACTCCATAATTTTGGTTAGCTGTCAATTTCAAATATAATTTTTGCTCAAAATATGTCCCTATTCTCACTCTTAATTTAAGTCTAATGCTCCAACCTGTAATTCCTCAGTGTCCTCTTTACCTTAAAACTGTGTCTTCTCTTCCAGTCAGCCCTCACACCTGGTTTCACTAAATGTTGAAAGAGGCGCATCCAGCTATGCATGAGCATTAGTAAATTAGTCCGTTGTTTGAGGGATCATTGAGCAATAACTATTTTAAATACTGTATTCAGCAGAAGTTGGTTGCTAGTAGCAGCCTGCTATCAGTGAAATTCACCTTTAGTTGAGCTTTCATCTGGAAATTCACAGATGTCTACATTGCTTTGGAAGCTGCAGGACTGAAAAAGTGGTTCTGAAAGGTAGAGAAACTTCTTTTCTTATTCATATTGAAGCAAAGTTGATTAAAAGGGGCCAAATGAGCACAGAAAAAGTAATCTAGGAATATGCTTCAAATACAATAAAAATTCCACCCAAAATTTGTTTACATAATTATGCCTTCCATTGTGTTCACTATTTATTAGGGAGGAGGGTATGGGGATGTGGGAGATTAGTTCTAGGACCTTCTGCAGATACCAAAATCTGAGGATGCTCAAATCCCTTCTATAAAATGGTGTAGTATTTGCATAAGCCTGAACACATCCTCCCATATACTTTAAAACATCTCTAGTTACTGACAATACTTAATATAATGTTAATGCTATATAAATAATTATACTGATTTTCAAATTTTGCATTATTCACTATCATTATTTTAGAATATTGTCTGTCTTTTGTTAGAATATTGTCTTGTTGAATCCCCAGATGTGGAACATACAAATAGGAAGGGCTGACTGTGCCTCATTTAAAAATTATTGGATTAATCCAAGACAGGAACATCTCCATCGTTACTTTTGATGGCAGCAGCAGCCCATCTAGAGTGGCTGCTGCCACAATGCTGGCTGCAGTGGGGAGACTTCCTGAGCCTCCCACTCCACAGAACAGGCAGGAACCTCATCCTCCCCAAGTGCCACTGCACCTGCCCTGCCATGGCTCCAGAACTGAGTGTCCCTGTGCTCCTGGGGCCCTGGAAAGGCTCCCCTTCCCCCAACAGGCTCGGAAGTGCCTGCTCCTGCTGCCTGACCTCTCCCTGCTACCAGTGCCCACTCCTGTCATGGAGCAAAGTTGGGCTGAGCCTGGGTGCCATCACAGCCTGGCTGGGTGTGCATACAATCAGGGAAGGGCTGACACACCAGCCCCCTGCTGCCTCGGCCCCCTTTGGACTTTGGGCACAATGAGCATGGGAGGAAAGCTGAGGAGGTCCTGATGGCAGCTTGGCACTGGTCTGCAGGTGCCCCTTGGTATGAACAGCTTAGGCACCATGAATGGCAAGGCTGAGAGGAAAACAGGCTCCTGGGCAGAAACAGGCAGGTCCCCAGTGAAGCCCCACTTTCAGGCAGGGGAATTCCTGAAGCCTGGCAGCCAGGCTGCCAGTCCTGCCAGCTGGAGGGGGGAGCTCATGATACTTTTTCCTGAGCCCATCCATGGTGGCTCATGGACCAATCAGCAAGCACTCCTTCCATCTGAAGACCATAAAAATTCCAGACTCAGACAGAGCAGAGGAGACATCAGGACAACCAGCTGCAGAGAGGAGCTACCCTCTCCAGGGCCTCCTCTCTGCTGAGAGCTGCAGACTATGGGACAACCAGCTGCAGAGAGGAGCTACCCCCTCTGCTGAGAGCTGAATGCTGGATGGGACGACTTGCCTACAGAGAGGAGCTGCCCAGTGCAGGTCTCCTCTGAGCTGTTCTAACACTCAATAAAGCTCTTCTTCATCTTACTCACCCTCCACTTGTGTGTGTACCTCATCCTTCCTGGGTGCAGGACATGAACTTGGGCAAAGGCACCACAGGCCACAGAGGTTTCCAGACAGAAAAGCAACACTCCAAAGATTCCTAAGACTTTTACGTCTGGCCTATGCCTGTATGTAGCAATACCCTTAAATCATATTGGTCCGTTTTAGTTAAACAAGACTGAAAATTGATGTGATTCATCCCACACTGCTCCTTCTTGTTTTTTTTTTTTTTTTTTCCATAAAATTTTCCCTCCAGGCAACCATTCTTCTGACTTCTCATGTTTTCCATTTCTTAGGATTTTTTCTTTACCCAAGAAGATTATTTAGAATTATGTTTTTAAATTTCCAAATAGTTGGGGATTTTCTAGTTATCTTTTTCTTACTGATATCTAATCTAGTTTCATTTGTCCCAGAACACAAATCTGCAAGTTTTTAATTCTTGGAAATTTACTTAGACGTGCTCTAGGATTCAGTATATGTTTACTTTGGTGAATGTTCCATCTGAATATGAAGTGTTAAATTAATGTCAATTAGCTCAATTTGCTTAAAAATCTTCAAATTTTTGCAGCTTTTTTTTTTTTTCTGTCACCCAGGCTGGAATACAGTGGCATGATCTCAGCTCACCACAACCTCTGCCTCCCGGGTTCAAATGATTCTTCTGTCTCAGCTTCCCAAGTGGCTGGGATTACAGGTGCCTACCACCATGCCTGGCTAATTTTTAAATTTTTAGTAGAGATGGGATTTCGTCATGTTGGCCAGGCTAGTCTCAGACTCCTGACCTCAGATGACCCACCTGCCTCGGCCTCCAAAAGTGCTGGGACTACAGGCGCAAGCCACTGCACCCAGCTAGCTGTTTTTGCTTAGCAATGACTAAGATAAAATCAGTCCAGGTAGGACTGTAGATTTGTGTATTTCTCCTTTAGTTCTGTCAAATATTGATTATTTTTTATGAATATGTGTTATTAGGTACATCTACAGTGAGAATTTTTAAATAGTCATGGTGAATTTCCCTTTTATCATTATAAAAGTTACCTATTTATGATAATTTTTCTTGTCTTAGAGTCTATTTTGGTTGATACTAAAATAGATTCTGGATATTTCTTACAATTAGTGTTTGCATTTTACATCTTTTAAAAATATTTTTAATTTTTGCGGGTACATAATAGGTGTATATATTTATAGTGTACATGAGGTATTTTGGTACAGACTGCATGTCATATCTTTTTCTATAATTTTACATTTGATGTAAATGTTTTTATATTTCAAATGTCTCTGTTATACAGAGCATATAGTTGGGTATATTTTAATCCACTCCCTAAATCTCTGCCTTGTAATTGGAGTGCTTAGTTCATTTACACCTAATGTGTTTACCTGTACAGTTGAGTTTAAATTTACCATTTTACATTTGGTTACTACCTTTCACACTTATTCTGTGCTCCTTTCTTCCTTTCCTCCTTTTTGTTAGATTAGTCATGTATTTTTCATTGGCTTTTTATTATTGGCTTTTTAGCTTTACTGTTTTTTGCTCATTTTAACAGTTTTCTAGAATAAACATTACAGCATACATTTTAAGTTAATGCATTCCACCTTAAATATAAAAACTTTAGAATAATGTCTTTTCCTTTGCTCCTCTCATTCCTTCTGTTATCACCATCATATATTATACTTCTATATCTTTTTAAAAGTCCACAGCACTTTGTTATTATTTTACCTTTAGACAATCGATGGTCTCTCTTGAAATTTTACTACTTTACAACCTATTCACCATTTCCAGTGCTCTGCATTTCTCCTGGAGATCCACGTTCTCCTATGGTGCTATTCTGATCATCTTTCATGAGCATTTCTTCTAATGCAGATCAGCTGACAAGAAATTCTCTTAATTTTTGCCAATCTAAAAGAGTTTCTATTCTAATGCAGAACAGCTGACAAGAAATGCTCTTAATTTTTGCTAATCTAAAACAGTTTCTATTTTACCTTCATTTTTGATGAATACTTTTGCTAGACACTGAACTATGGGTTAATGTTTTTGTTTTGTTTTGTTTCTTTTGTACTGTCTTCTGGCTAATTGTTTCTGTTGAGAAACCAAATGTCATTCTTACTGTTGTTCATCTGAATATGAATATTCTAACTGATTTAATGATTTTTATTGTTTGGGGATTTTTTGCATAGGTTTCTTCTTTTTTCACAAGTTTTATTTTGATGTGTCTAGTTGTCTTTATATTTAAACTGATATGCTATTGACCTATTTCTTGAGTTCCTGGTTCTATCTTCTGGTGTCCAGAATTATATTAGACCAATCCAATGAATTCTTTGTTTCATATATTGTAGAATTCTAGAATTTTCTAGAATTTTCAGTTCTAGAATTTTCATTTAGTTCGCTGCTAGAGTTAGTTTCTCTGCTAAAATTCTCTATTTATGTATTTTATCCATCTTGCCACTAAATGTTTTAAATTCTTCATAACAATTATTTTTAAATTCCTTATCTGCTTAGTGTAAAATCAAGGTGGTCTATTAGTCTGCCTTAATTGATTGCCTTTTCTCTTGATTATGGCTCATATTTTTTGTTTAGTTGTAAATCTCATATTTTAAAAAATTATATTGTGCATTTTTTATAAAGGAACAGTAGAAACTAAAGTAGATAATACGTATATGTATGTATTTTGTTTTCTTTCATTTTGTTTTTCCCAGAAAGAACACACACTTTTCTTCTCCACACAACTTGGGTGAAGGCTGATCACTAAGATACCCTCATGGGCCACAACTTTAATTAGTTTCAGTTTCTATCTGTTTTCCAACAAGATTATATAAAATCTCTCTCTGCCTTACAGCCCTACTTCTAAGTTGCCCTTATTGCCCTCTGAGGAGCCCATTTACTTAATCTTATCAGAATTTGAGTGAGAGGGAGGTTGGGTTAGTTTTAGTTTACCTCCAGACTAAACTTTAGTCTTGTTTGTGATGCAAGATCTCCTGCTGCTCTCCTGCTATTTCCCCACTACTATTCAATCACTGAGATTCCCAGGACATGAGGATTTTCAGAATGAGGGATTTGTTTTTGCATTTATGCTTCCCCAGACTTCTTTTTGTCATGTCAGATCATTCTCTCCATCAAATTTTGGCTCATTTCTCTTTTCCCACCAAAATCTGTCTGCTTAAGGGAGGCAGACTGAACAGCCTCTGCCAAGGCAAAGACTAGAAAAAGGTGCCCTGTATGAAAGTGGCTGCTGTTCTTTACCCACCTATGAAGGCCTTATCTCTGCCTGGAATTTAGTTCACTTAGACTTCTATGCATCCATCACACTGTGTGGCTTAAAAATATACATATTAAAGTAAAAAAATATTGGGAGAAGAATGGAAAGGCTTTGGATAAATGATTAGCTGGTTAAATAAATGAGCCTGGGTTACTGAAAAAAAAAACAACATATATTTAAAACCACTCAAATATATATATATATATATATATATATATATATATATATAAAATAAGTATATATATATAAACTCATGAGTGTTTTAGTTTATATATATAAAACTCATATGAGTTTTAGTTTAGTATATATATATAAAACTCTTGAGTTTTACTTTAGTATACATATATAAAACTCATATGAGTTTTAGTTTAGTATATATATATAAAACTCATATGAGTTTTAGTTTAGTGTATATATATAAAACTCATATGAGGTTTAGTTTATCCAGTGTTTCCTCACTGTTATAATGGAACTGATGGTCATTCCATCTTCAATGAAAGTGAAATCCACTGTGTTATTTTCATTATGGAAAGAGATATAAGACATGAATTGTGCAATGAAAATAAATCATCAGGTATTAACAAAATGGTGGACTGGAATGAAGAAAGAATTTAGCATGAGTGTAGATTTAAAACTAACAAGCTTTTTAAGATAGTAAATCTACAGAAGAATAGGTGAGAAAATAGATACCTGAATATTAATAGGAACACCTAAATAAATACATAGAAAGAGTTTTACCAACTAAACTTCAGTGGAATTGCTAATATTCTGTCAAAAAGATAATTTATTTCAATATCTTTTACATGACTTGAAAAATGTGCATTCCAACTGCTATTGGCTGGATTATGTTTTCCCAAAATTCATATGTTGAAGTTTTAACCTCCAGTACCTCAGAATATGACTATATGAGGAGAGATCTTTAATGAGGTAATTAAGTTAAAATGAGAGGTCTCTGGTGGCCTTAATCAGATCTGACTAATGTCCTTACAGGAGGAGGAACTTAAACACAGAGAGAGACACCAGGGGTGGGTGCACACAGAGAAAAGACCACATGAGGACACAATAACAAGACGAGCATCTGCAAGCTAAGGAGAGAAGCATCAGAGGAAACCGAGACTGAGGACAGCTTCATCTTGTTTCTAGCCTCCAGAACTGTGGCAAAATAAATTTTTGTTGTTTAAGCCACTCGGTTTGTGGTATTTGCTATGGCAACTCTAGCAAACGAATATACCAACCAAGAATCAAAACTATCACTTCTTGTTTCAGTCTAAAACCATAGGTATCATCTAATTAAAAGTTCAAGGCTATTTAAATTTTACAAAGTACTGGAATTTGTCATTGTCCTTTAACATGCTGGGGAGACTAATGTCCATTCTTCTCCTGAGAAGATATAGTCTGTTGGTAATGGGAAAATGTTCATGAGAATATCTTACACTTATATCCCAGACAAGGTGGCCCCAAGTCCAGGGGAAGCATAGCTGTCATTGCCTTTTAATCACACGGAGCATAATTTTTGCTGACTTCAGAGCTGAGAATGTTAAGGCATCACTCTCTTGGAAATGAAATTAGTAGTGACAGGACAAATAGGATTGAGCATGGCTTTATGCTTCTACCATTATTTCCACAAGCTAAAGACAGCATGTATTTGCGCAGCACAAGTCAAAACTGTCCTATAGTTTATAATGCACTCATTCAAATAAAATTAAACTCCATCTACTGGGTGAGCAGCCCTATTTTATCCTCCTCTGCTGATCCAAAAAATTTCATTCATGGCATTTGATTGATAGGCCTCATAAGTCTCTTCAAATCTATTATTTCCCCCTGCGTTTTCCTGCTTGCCATTTTTTTTTTTTTGAAGAAAATTTTTTTTGTCTCATAGAATTTCCATATTCTAGATTTTACTATTAGGATGCACGTGGTTTTAAGAAATGTTCCTTCAACCCTTAATTTCCTCTAAATCGTTGTGAGATACTGTGCTTGAGCAATTCAGATAATTTTTTTATGTCTCACTACACCACACCCTTTGTTTATTTTTAACATGAAGATTAATTGTTCAGGTATTGTCAGCACTATTAATCCATCATCAAGATTTCTACCCACTTTCTACCTAATAGTTTTGGCAGTCACTCATACTCATTATCTGCATCCATTATTGCATTGGGGGAACAAAATGGTTATATTCGAATTCCTTATTACTTCTGCATTTACTCATTGAATTTTTAAAACTTCAAAATATTTAGGGAATTTCTAATTATCTTTTTGTTATTGAAATCTAATATCAATAATGAATTTTTTAAAATAATAAGTATTTGTTCTCATAATGATTACCCTGTGAAAAGTTAACATAGAAAGAAAATAAATGCTTGATTCTTTCTATTTACTTACTAGTTTCTCAAATTAAGTATGACTTCTCACTTCCTCCAGGGGTTGTCTAGAAGGCATTTTGTTTTATTTTAAAAATATTTTTACAAACTCCTGTACATTTTAGCATAGGTATTGCATTTCAAGCTATCTTTATTGATGATGTCTGATTGCCCCTATTTTGCCTGGGAGAACTCTTTCAGATTGACTTCCAACTACTCCTAACACAACCCAGAGTCTTTAACAAAGTCCTTTGCATCTGGCGTGAAGAAATATTCCTGAACTATCTTGTCCTTTTCTCATCCCATACCTGGAATCAGCCACTTCTGCAAGACAGGCTGGCTTTTTGTGGCGAGAAATGATATTTAGCAATCACAATCTGGGTTCTACAGGGTGCTCATTGCTACAGATGGATCATTACTTTCATGTTTTTTCCAGAGACAGAGCTAAGAAAAAATGAAAATACAAGAGCTAGAAAATATATCGTGAGTTTATACTGTTATTTTCAATTCAAATTTGGGATTAACTGGTTTTTGCTTCACTTTTTTTGTCTTGTAATATGTCTCTTTTGTATTGAATATTACGGTTCCTAACAGCATTACCATAATCACTTATTTGCTTGTGTGTGTGTGTGTGTGTGTGTGTGTGTGTGTGTTTCAGACTACATTCAGAGTTGTTTTTTAGAATCATATTTACATGGGAAAAATATGTTTAATGATATGTACAAACCAGTTAACTCCAATATACATCTATAGCCCCCCTCCCACCCCACTAATCTCATTTTACAGATATTCCAGAAAAGGGAAGAAACCTCATTTTACAGAAAGGGTATTTCATATAAATTTTGTCATATCTATGATAAAAATGAAAAAGCAAAACTTCAGACTATATAACAGGGGCAGATCTTTACATTCAGATCTCAAGCTGAGTGACTGGGGCTTCTGTTTCTCCAAGTTAAAGAGGAAAAGACTAGAAAGTTAGAAGAATTCACAACAGATTTCTTTCACTGCCTGAGAAAGAAGGCCAGTGAGGTGGTGATGAGCCGTACTCCATGATGTCTGGAAATTTCTGAAGTAGGAGCTGTAGAGTAAGTAAGCTGCATAGGAAGTGACAGAAGGAGAATGGCAGATGTAGAGATTGAATGATGACATAATTTCCAGGACACAACAATTTGTATGGGTGTCTAAGGGATGGAGAAGGGAGAGGCCAGTGGAGCTAAGGGAGTCAAGAACTGGGAATCTAGAGTTGGGTGGATCATACATGTAAGTATCTGCAAAGTGGGGTATGATCAACTCAGAGAGTGCTTTAATTACGATGTGGAACTATATTACCAAGATAAATACATTACCAAGATTTCTCTTTATGCCTGCTAATGTCCTTTAAACATTCCTTTCTAGAGCGTGTCTTAAACTATACCTTACGGTACGATACTTTTTTTTTTTTTCCTTTCTTTCTTTTATTTATTTATTTATTTTTTTTGAGATGGAGTCTCGCTCTGTTGCCCAGGCTGGAGTGCAATGGCGCCATCTCTGCTCACTGCAACCTCCACCTTCTGGGTTCAAGTGATTCTCCTGCCTCAGCCTCCCGAGTAGCTGGGATTACAGGCATGCGCCACTATGCCCAGCTAATTTTTGTATTTTTAGTACAGACAGGGTTTCACCATGTTGGCCAGAATGGTCTCCATCTCTTGACTTCATGATCTGCCCACCTCGGCCTCCCAAAGTGCTGGGATTACAGGCGTGAGCCACAGCGGCCAGCCACGGTACAATACTTTTTTGGGAGTGCCTGAGTCACATGAGCAAGGAGCCTATTAAAGACTGGAGTTGGCAGACATCTCTGCATCTCCTTCGTATTGGCCAAATTAGACTCAATGGCCTGTTTATGCTGCCCATTGTTTCTTAGGAAAGTATTTGGTTGTTTTCAAAAATGCTAGCTTAAACATGCTTCTGTATGTGTTCCTGCATACTTATTCAACTAGGATAAATTCTTAGAGATGGTAGGTTGAAAGTTATGCATTTTTAAAGGCATATTAACTTAATTGGTATTTTTAATTGGAAAAATGTCATACTTATTGCCAAAATATCATTGAAAATGTTAACTGGTTTTTATGTAACCCAGGTCTTATTGAGTCATAATTAAAAATATTCAATAGGAGAAGGGCAAAGAAAAAAATGTAATCAGCATAAACAGAGATGAATCTAGATTTAGGAAACCTACAAACCTACTTAAATAAATATATTTCATAGTAGATTGTATTTTTATTTTAATAAGAATCCCATTTTTCCAATATTTCCTTTTACATGTCTATTTTTCTGGCATAAACTAGTTTGTGTGACTCTACTATGTGGCTGATTGGTGTCTCTAGAACCTTGGAAATTTCACCAAGCAGCACAGGAAGTGGTTTATGTGGAGATTATGTGGAGCACAGATACATAAAAGATAACATCAGGTATACCTTGCTCAAAGTAGACAACTGGTTCTTAAAAAAACAGCAACAAAACATCAGCTAAAGCCTTCAGTCTAGTTTTTATTTATGTATGTATTTATTTATTTACTATATGACCTCTTATTTCTATTCAATACTAGTCAATGTTACCTAATCTCAATTCACTGCTTCTGTTTCTATATCTGGAAAAACAAAAAACAAGATTGAGTTGTAGAATCAATGACATTCACCTTTAATATCAAGTTGACCTCCAACAAAATTGTTAGAAATGATGTTTCGTATAGAGGAGGAACCATTCCACTCATCTATGTAACAGCATGAGAATTGGCTTCTGTTTCTGTTGTTAATTAGGTATGCGCTCGTCTTCCAGGCTGACAATGCACAAAGGAAATGACAGAAATCTGATCGTGCAGATGAGAACAGTACAGGCCTTCTCAAAACATATTAACCAAGGAATGGAATTTCTGTGGTTAAAGTCATAAATGGTCCCCAGAGAAGCCACTGATAATCACGGTTTTGATTGAATGAGGTCCTTCAGCAATGCATACCATTTACCTATTTTGTAAATTATCTAACAGATTCAATGTTTTTGTTGTGGTCCCATGAGGCTTTGCCTTCTTCTGTGGAATTACCTTGACCAGAGCCTCATTAAATGACATTTCTTCTAATTAGATTTCTTGGCTGTTAAAAATTATTATGCTGGAAAACCCACATCCCATCCTCCCACTTCCCTCTTCTGTTACTTCAGTCTCACTCTTATGTTTTTATTTGTGCAAGATGCAAGCCAGATGTTATATTAATAAGAGGGCTGATGTTCCTCAAGGAGCCACTCATCAGCACAGAAGCAGACCCTGTTGCAATTTCTGGGAATTCCTTAAGTTTTTTCCTTGCTTTTTTTTCCCCTCATTTTAAGTAGAAAATTCTGGAAGATACACTTAAAAACAATATTATTGTAAGTACAGGATTACATCTGTTTATTGTGAATGCTGATAGAGATTTGGAGTTTTCACAACTAAATTTTGTGTGTAAAGAAGAAGGAATTTAGAAACAGGAAATATATTTTATATAAATGTAGGTAACATATTACAGTTGACATGCATAAGCTTCTCAAAAAGTTAATTAAAGTGAAACAGAGATTCCTTATCAAAACATTGAATTATATGACATTTTCATTTCTGTGCTAATGAGTGATATTAAAACAAAGAAATAATGAGCTTCTTATACTCTTCAGATGAATACATCATCTAGAACACAATAATATTTTTTTAAAAGAAAGGCCACAGTTAAATTCATTATGATTCCAAAAATAATCTTTTAAAATTGACATGAAATCCTTAAACTACCAAACTCCCAGGACTATTCAATAATAATTTTTAAAATATTTTTAAAATACTGAAAGGCTTAGTTCTAAGCCTCCCCTCATTCCCACATTGGGTTTGTTTCTGCAACTTAGATGAACTGACAGGATGACAGAGGTCACGTTGAGTCTGAGACCACACAGATAAGACTTAATCCTGGAAAGCCAAGCAGTACTTCTCCTTTTAAACATGTTCTCCAGGCACTCATAACTTATCTGTATATTTGTAATTGGGAGCACACTTTGCTTTTTTTCAGTTGTACCCTTTAAATCAAAATACATGTATAGCCCCAGCAACCACTGCTGACTCCCCTAGCACCGTCATAGGCAGGAGCTGATAAGACACAACCTTGATTTGACTAAGCCAGTTCTAGTAGGAGTAATTTGCAACTAAAAATCAAGTCCTCACTGATGCCATCAAAACTTTGACCAATCAAAGGAACAATGATCTTGCTACTTGAATTGATTTGAACCTCAAAGAAATTATGTGTCCCATGAAGAAGGAATACAAAGAGTAAAGAAGTTCCATGTTACTGAATAATTTTTAACATTAATTAACCAAGATAAAAGAGGTATGTACATGGACCAATGATTATCATGTATAATAAAAACTATAATTAATTCAATTTGAGACACATGTCCAAGTAAAAAATATGAATTAATGAATTATTGAGCACTTCACTATAGGCCAAGCATCCTCAGATAGTTGATAAATTGTATTTATACAATTTGGAATATGTTTCATTGCAAAAAATAGAAAACCCAAATTATGGTAGCTTAAACAAAGAGAAGTCTAGTTTACTTAATAAAATAAGAAAGCCAGAGGCATGCAAAAATCTAGCATTGGGAACTCAGGATCTTTTCATCTTTCCTCTCAAAACTGTTTTATGTATTGGCTTTTATCCTCATCTCATGGTAACAATGGAACTCCTCTAGTTTGAAACACAATTTCCATGTTCTTGTGAGGAGAAAAAGGAGAGAGAAGAAAGAGGGAACACCAGCCCTATTCTCTCTATTATCAGGAAAAACAAAAAGAGCCTTCCTTAAGCCTCCAGTAGATGCCTATTTTTTTTTCTCATTGGCTGAAACAGATGGCATAGATACTCCTAGCTGCAAGGGAGCCAGGGACAATGAGTATCTCACCAGGGTTAGGAACTCTCACTTGCCAAAAAAATTATAGATTTGTTTTAGACAAAGAAAATGAGAAAAGATATTCGGTGTGTGCCCCAGGTTATGTTTAATACTTAGAAGAATACTGCCAATTGGGTATTTTCTCCATTTACTTTTGAGGAAACTGAGGCACACAGAATTTAAATTATATGTTGCAAGGGCTCACAATTGGTAAGTACCAGCTGTAACTCATGGCATGCAGGCCAAACCTGGTCCATGGGAGCATGTGGCATGACCTTTAAGCCAGTCACTGCCATTACCTTCTCCTCTTTAATTCCTTGTGACAATCAACCTTAATGCTTCCTAATTGCTTATAAGGATGTGCACAGCATCTTTATTTTTATCCAGCTAGGACAGTGCATATGTGATCATTGTGGCACCTCAGGGAGAATACAACACTGGGAGATTAAATAGAATTACTTTGGTATTCTCTTTGCATTTCTTTGATAGCATCACCCAAGCC
The DNA here is from genome assembly GCF_000001405.40 of Homo sapiens. Classification (NCBI taxonomy): domain Eukaryota; kingdom Metazoa; phylum Chordata; class Mammalia; order Primates; family Hominidae; genus Homo; species Homo sapiens. The sequence continues at coordinate 228,877,893 of NC_000002.12, forward strand.
CAAATACCATCTTTACATGCTGACTCTAAAACTTAGACCTCCATACTGTACTTTCCTCTTGAACTCCAGATTTGTATATCCAACAGCCATTCAGCATCACCATCCCAATGTCTAGAAGGCCTCTCAAGCAGTACGTACTCTAAATTTCACCTGATTGCTCACACTTCTCACCTCCTCTACTGATACCACCCACATCCAAGCTACCAATATTTCCCCCTTGGACCACTGCAATAAGAATCCCAACAGATTCTCCAGGCAGCCCCTTTCCCTCCTACAGTGTACCATAGACCTGCCAGTCAGAGTGATTCTTATAAAACATGATAGATTATGTCACTGGTCTATTCAGCATCTTCCAAAGTCTTTCCAGCTCACATAGAATGAAGCTCAATCTATTTGCACTGACCAAGAAGACCTGACTTCATCCCCTAGGATTTTGCTGACCTCAGCTCCTACTACCTTGCCACTCATTCAACTTCAGTCACACTGGCCTCCTTGGTTTACTCAAGATTCTTCCTGCCAGAGAGTCTCTCACCTCAACCCCTTTGCACATGCTGCTTCTCTGCAGTGCTCTTCCAGTATCTAGGTGGCTTGCTTCCTAGGAACCATGGGCTCCTACTTTATTTTTTGCCGTCACCCTTGTTGTCCAGTCACATACTTGATGTTTCATTTATTGCCTGCTACCGTCAAATAAACTTTAAACTCCCTAAAGGCAGAAATTTTTGTCTGAATTTTTCACTGATAGTCTACATTCCCTAAAATAGTACCTGGAATATAGTAAACACTCAATAAATAAGTGTTGAGTAAATGAATGTCAAATAGTCCCTCCAGTCATAGATAGTATCAGTCAATCGGTTGGCAAACGTACAACATAGACCTACAACATTCATGGATGTATGTTTAGTGCATCGTGGACAAAAATAAGAAAATTATATTCTAGTTGTGGAGTTTGAGAAACATGTACATAGAACCCAAATAATCAAATACAACACAGAACTATGGCAAATCAAATAAGAACCACATTTACTTAGGCCACTGCCATCTGCTGAGACAAGACATACAAATACATCATTATTAAATTTATTTTTTTAAAGCAAGTTTCAGGTCTATTTATTTATTGAAAAATTTCATGGTAACACAGGTTGATTTCAAAATAAATATTCATTTAAACATTCAAACATCCATTCTTTCAAACATTCATTCAAAAAATGCTTACAGTGAATGTCTTAGTTCGGGATGTGATAACAAAGTATCATAGACTGGGTGGCTTATAAAGAACAGGGCTGGGTGAGGTGGCTTATGCCCGTAGTCCCAGCACTTTGGGAGGCCGAGGCAGGTAGATCACTTGAGATCAGGAGTATGAGACCAGCCTAACCAACATGGTCTAACCTTGTCTCTTCTAAAAATACAAAAATTAGCCAGGCATTGGGGCATGCACCTGTAATCCCAGCTACTCAGGAGGCTGAGGCAGGAGAATAGCTTGAACCTACAGGGCAGAGGTTGCAGTAAGCTGAGATCGTGCCACTGCACTCCAGCCTGGGTGACAGAGCAAGACTGTCTCAAAAACAAAACAAAACCAACCAGACAAACAAACAAAAGAACCGAAACTAATTTCCCACAGTTCTGGAAGCTAAAAGTTGGGGATCAGGGTGCTAGCATTGGTGGGATTCTGGAGGGCTCTCTTCGTGTTGCAGACTGATGGCTTCTCATCGTGTCCTCAGATGGTGGAAAGAGAGCAAGAGAGGTCTCTGGGGTCTCCTCATAGAATTCCTTCAGTGGGCATGAATCCAGTTTAATTATAAGGGCTCTACTCTTATGATCCAGTTACCTCCCGAGGTTCTTACCTCCTAAATCTTCACACTGGGGGTTAGGATTTCAACATATGAATTTTGGGGAGATGCAAACATTCAGTCTATAACAATGAGCCTCTCCTGTTCCAGATACTACCTAAAGGAGGTAGGCTCTAATTGTGGATAAGTAGAGACAGGTCACTGGCACTTATAGAGTTTATCATCATTTACTTGAATTTTGACCTGACATATGTTGAGAAACTGCTAACTATTTTCATGACTGTGCTCCACAGAAACATGCTTTTTCTTATACCTGGAATTCCATTCAAAATATTTTTGCAATTATAAGCTATATGAGGAAGAGGAATATGGGCACAGGAAAACTGGGGAGGCAAAAGACAGGCTATTTCATAAAAAATTAAATATATACTTAACCATATGACCGGGGGGTTCACAGCAGTAGAAATGTCTTGTACAAGGAATCTCATTAATAGCTAAATCAGTAATATCCAAACACTGAAAATGATCCGATGTTCATCAGCAATTCACTGGACAAGCAAACTGTGATAAAACCAAACAACTGGATATTAATAAGTAATAAGAAGGACAAACTATTGATGCACACAACAATTTTGATGGATCTCCTAGTTGTTGTAAAAATAAAAGACACAAAAATGAACTGCATAATTCTATTTATATGGTTTCTAGAAAATGCAAATTTATATAGTTTCTAGAAAATGCAAACTAATCCACAAGGACAGAAAGCAGATAAGTCATTGCAGAGAGATGCATGTGGAGAAAAGGACAGATGGCAAAAGGACTCAAGGAAATGTTTTAGGGTGATGGGAATATTTGTCATGTTGATCATGGTGACTGTTTATGAGAGTATTCATCTGCCAGTACAAATCAAATTGAACTCCTTATATATGTCCAGTTTTTTGTATAAAAAAAGTACCTAAAAAACTTTGTAAAAAAATACATGGTACAATTTGTTAAAAAAAAAATTGGCACCTCCTGTCACCCTAAGACAAAGCAGTGGCTGAAGCACATAGCAAAATATTTAGTGTATATTAAGTACTAAATACATCCTTGTTGAATTATATGTATTTGTGAATGACAGTAAACACATATAATGCTTATAATGTTCTAGCATCATTTGTCAATATATTTAAATTAATTCAATTATTTAAAATTAATTTATATATGTTATTTTATAAAATTAATTGAAATATATTATTTAAAATATAATTTTAAAGCACTATGAAGTAAATTCTACTAGTGTTACCCATTTTAAAAATAAGAAAAATTAGGCATAAGTGTCTTCTATCTAGATTAGGACATTGAAGCACTGAGAGAAGCTGAGCTGTAAAGGTTACCCAGTTGGTGTCTCACAGAACTGAGGCTCCTATGAAAGCCATCTGTCTCCAGAGACATATTTTTAACCCCCACAACATACCACCATAAAGAAGGACGGTAAGAAGGAATTCAGGAATTCAGAAAAGAGAGAGTGCTCTGTGTGCTTGGAAGTTAGAGAAGTCTTTATAAAAAGACAGGATGTTTGCTGAGCTATGAGAGCTAGGGAAGCTCTGGAGAAGGAGGAGGGTGGACGTGCATCCCAGACAAGGCTGACCTCCAGGCATGATTGGGCCTGAGAAGCTATTTGTCCAGTCTTTGGTCACATTTCCTTAAAGGATGAGCTAGATCAAGATCCACTGACATTTTATCTTATAAATATTGCATGTAGGATATAAATAGCTGGTTCAGTAAGGAAAAGGACAGAGGAGGTGGTATCTCCTCTGGCAGAGGCCCAGTGACAGGAAGAAACAGAATATGGAACTAGAGCTGATTGTTTAATGATTAATGAGACAATTCTTTTATTCCATGTATTACGTGACTAGGGAAACTGATGGGACTTGGCTGCTTATACTGATAGAAAAAAAGAAAATATTGCTTTCAAAAGTGTCATTTGCCAACATCAAAATTGGTTTCCAGAATTACTGATGAGTAACAACAAAAATATTACTCTTGTGATTTTACCATGGTGGTAAAGATGGCATTGACCAGATGTCCAGGAGAACAAAATCAGTACATAGACTCAAGTCCTAAGACACCAAGAAACATCTTTTATACCAAATAACAAAATGAGGAAAAGGCAGTCAGATGAAGTAAAGGTCACACAGGTTGCAGGAAGAAGCCAAGAGGGCATCAAGTGCACATTTGGAGACAGCTCACAAGGCAAAACCAACAAGTCTCCACTCTGAATGAAAGGAGAGCAGGGTTGTAGTGAAGCTGTCCCAAACCCTTGCTGATACAACAATGATGAAAAAAACGTGAGGCAGTAAGAAACACTGCTCATACGCCATGCTTGCAGGATGCAATCTGCCAATGAGGAAGTGGGAGGAGACACACTCTGCATTATGAGTAACGCTGTTGCTACCAGTTTGATTAGAAAAAATAGTGCTAAGATAAATTCACTCTCACATAGCCACAGCCTCCTAAAAATAGTAAGTCTAGAAGGAATTTAACTTATTCAGATATGTGCAATGATCAAAAAATTACCCTCACCTAAACAGAAGATATTACATGCCCTCAACCAAGGGAATAAAAGAATGGAAAGTGACAAATAGAAAATTCTAAACAATGTAAAAATGGAAATAATCTAAATTGTTACAAAGATATCACCCCAACCTATAAAAACTTAATAAACGAAAGTCATGAACTAAATGCTGTCTTAGAACAAGAGCTTAAAGCAGACATATGAAACAGAAAGCCATCTCAGAAACAAATGTCATTGAAAGCAACAGAGGAAAATAAACACTGCTAAACACTTAATGAATAATTTGATAGCATGGATTATGAAAAGCAATAAGCAAAATAAAATTGAAATGAAGAAAGCTGAAAGTAAAGAGAAAAATGGTAGCTGTAAAAGTAATGCAAAGATAATCTGACAGATAGTTAATTGGTATCCTTAACAGAGAGGACCAAAATAATAAAACCAAATATATTTAAGAAAGATAAAATTCAAGAAAACATTCCAATTTACTTAAAAACATACATCAATTAGACTAAATTTATGTAACAAATTCAGATTTTGTGGAGCATAAAGGCTAAGTGATCAAGTTACCTCTCAGATGAAAAATATCACGCTGACTTAAAATTTCCTCTCAGCAACATTAAATCAGACAAGGCAGTAAACAGCATTCACAGAGTCCTTAAGGAAGCTGATGTCTATCCAAGGCACCACTCAAGTATAAAAGCAACAGACTAATATGCTTTAGATATGCAACACATCAAAAAATATGATTTCTATGAGTCCTTCTAAAGAAACTAAAGAACTTCCTTTATCCAACCTAAAGATAAATGGAATGCCATTGAACTCATTTAGCACTATGAATAAGACTAAAATAAATGTAAGGAATGTGATTAACGATAAAATAATAACAAAAAGCTAATATTTAGTCAGTGTTTAATAAGTGTCAGGCACTGTTCTAAGTCCTTATAAAATTTCTGTGAATTGTATAGTGGGATAATAATAATACCCACTTCACAGAAATTTTATGAGGACTTAGAACAGTGCCTGACACTTATTAAACAATAAATAAACATATGTGCACTCAGAGGTTTAGTAACAGAATACAAATATCTACTTTAATAATATACAAATAAGATAACTGAAAAGATTAAAAATAAAGGAAAAGACATCACTAATGTCTTCACCTTCTATAGTGATAGGGAAATGACATGATTTTAAATTGATAAACTAACATAACTCTAATTAAAAGTATAAAAGTAATCACTAAGGTAAATAACAGTAATTATTAAAATCAATTGGTTGAAAGAATGAGGATGAATCAGAAATATAATTATTTTAATGATTGATTATAATAAAAGATGACTTTTATTATATAATAGTAGAATTATGAAAATTATTGCTAATGTAAAAAGTCAAGCTCTCCAAATTATTGGAAGGAATACATGCACGCAAACCAAATCAAAGACTATGCACACTACAAAAAGACTGATACAAGAACTCCAAATGCAATCAAATCAGAAAGCTTAGAATAAAATATGCTTCTACAACTAAACAAACCTCTCATATCATAATTGTAAGCTAATTAAAATCACATATTTAAATAAATAAAACATCTCATTGAATCACAAGATAAAACTATTTTATATTCAAGAATCAAAGAATCAATGTTACATTCAACATTTTGTTATATGTAGGACGCATACTGAAACAAAATTACAACAAAAAAATTGAAAGTAAAAGAGTATTCAAAATAACTCCTGAAAATACAAGACCAATGAAAGCAAGAGAAGTAACTTTCATATCAGACAAGACTGAATTTAGGATAAAGGGAATTAATAAATAAAATGTGAACACTTTATTGCCAAACGACTGTACAACATATATCAACCAAATAATATATAACCAATACTTAAAAATAAAGTTGAAAGAAAATACAAAGAAAACTGACAGGTTATATTTCATCTCTTCTTTTCTGTGAAAGATTATCAGTGGAAAAACACAAGTAAAGATAAAGGAGATTTAATTAACAATAATATAAATCAAGCTAATATGCATATAAAAAAACTATACTTCACAAATAGAAAATACACATATTTTTTCAAAGACCCTTGGAACATTCAGAATATATTAGATCACAAAGAGAACTGCAATGAATATGAAATTGTAAAATAATGTTTGCAATAAACTCATGAACAGAAAGAAAAGCCTACATGGGGAATTAATAACGAGCCTGAGATTGTTTCACATGGAATCTTACCAAACCTTAATTAACCAACAATTCCAATGCTACTTAAATTATTCCAAGTGGGAGTCTGCAAACCTTTTCTCTAAAGGGCTTTGTGGGCTACCCGGTCTCTATTGAATCTACTCAACTCTATGTCCATGCAATGAAAACAGCCACAGATAATATATAAATTAATGGATGTGGTGTGTTGTGTTCCAATAAAATTTTATTTATTAAAACTTTATTTTTATTTATTTATTATATTTTGGCAGCAGGCAGCAGTTTGTCAACCTCTGTTCTAGAATATAAGGGGGAACATTTAAAAAATTATTTTTATAAATATAATGTAACATTGATAACAAAATACAGTAAGGCATCACAATAATCCTAGTTCTTTCTTATGAAAATCTACACAAAAATCCACAACAGAATTAGTAATCAAAATTCAGCAGCACTTTAAGAGAATAATACACAATAACCTGGTGGTCTTTATTCAGTAATGTAAGTATGGCTCAATGTTAGAAATCCATTAGCATAATTCAGTATATTAATGGTTCAATAGTGAAAATTTTAACATCCATTATTTATGAAAAAAGTGTTTAAAACATAGTAATAGAAATATAAATCTTTAATATGTCTTTATCAAACTGGCCCAGAATTATGCTAAATAGGAAGCAGTGAAAGATTTATTTTTAAAAAATAAAATGTCCATTATCAAAAGAAAAATAAATGAGGTATGAAAATTGTAAAGGATGGAAATACATGTGTCATTATGTGCAGATGATATTATTGGTTTACCCAGAAAACTCAAGAGACTCCATTAGGAAACAATTACAAATAATAAAAGGAATCAGTAAAATGCCCTGGTACTTTCTATATCTGTATCTATGTATCTGTATCTATATTAGTCCATTCTCACATTGCTATAAGGAAATACCTGAAACTAGGAAATTTATAAAGAATAGAGGTTTAATTGGCTCATGTCCTGTAGGCTGTACAGGAAGCATAGCAGCTTGTGCTTCTGGGAAGGCCTCAGGAAACTTCCAATCATGGCAGAAGGTGAAGGGGAAGCAGGCACATCTTATATGGCCAGAACAGGAAGAAGGTGCTGTATACGTTTTTCTTTTTCCTTGTTTTTTTTTTTTTTTGAGACTGAGTTTCACTCCTGTTGCCCAGGCTGGAGTGCAATGGTGCCATTTCGACTCACCACAACCTCCACTTCCTGGGTACAAGCGATTCTCCTGCCTCAGCCCCCCAAGTAGCTGGGATTACAGGCGTGTGCCACCTAGCCCGGCTTATTTTGTATTTTTAGTAGAGACGGGGTTTCTCCATGGTGGTCAGGCTGGTCTCAAACTCCCGACCTCAGGTGATCCGCCCACCTTGGCCTCCCAAAGTGGTGGGATTACAGGCATGAGCCACCGTGCCTGGCCATAACATATACTTTTAAATAACCAGATCTCGTTAGAACTCTATCAGGAGAAGAGTACCAAAGGGATGGTCCTAACTATTCATGAAGGATACACTCCCTTGATCCAATCCTCTCCCATCTGGCCCCCAGTGTTGAAATCCCCCAGTGTTGGGGTTACAATTTTACATGAGATTTGGATGGGGGCACAGATCCAAACTATATCAGTATCTGAACTTACATATATGTCATATGTAATAAGAATCAGGTAGTTTAATAGAACAGCTACAAAAGATAAAATAAATTACCAAAGCCAAGTATTATCAGAAATGTGCAAAATCCATATTAAGAAAAACTTTAAAGCATTAGTGAGGTACCCAAAAGACTGAAAAACCATTGAAAATACACCATAATCTTAGCTAAAACTCAATGACATTATTCGATAATTTTTTCCTAAGTTACTTCACAAAGTTACAACCTTCCAAATAGAGTGACTGGGGATTTTAAAAAATAATCAAGCAGATTCTGAAGTTAATATAGAAAAATCACAAGCAAGAGGAATCAACACCTGAAAGAAGAGGGTAATGAGGTGACACCAGCCCTGGTATAAAGGCTAATTAATTACTATAGAGTCTTACTGTGCATGGATAGATAGATCAAAGAAAGAGTATGTAAATAGACCCAAATACAACAGGGATTTTATTTTAGGATATTCACATCATTCATATTCATATTATGATGAATATCCTAAAATAAAATCTGGATCTGGATTACTCAATAAATGGTAATGAGGCAATCGGGTAGCCATCTAGAGATAACAAATACTAAATCACTATATCCCTCTCCAATAAAAGTCAAATGGGTAAAAAAATTAATTTCAACAAGTAAAGCCATAGAATCACGAATGTGTATACAGTGCAGAAAAAGACTTTCTCAATCAATCACTAAATCCAGAAACTATTTATGGAAAAGCTAATTATTTTGAGTATATAAACTCCATAATGCATGCATGAACAAAAATAATCATAAACAGAGGCAAATATTTAAAAATATTTTAAAAAGCACATAAACCACAGTCTTTAGAACACATCATTACAAATCAATAAGAAATTCAAATGACTATGATTGAATAAAGGTATGCCATTTTGTTATTCATTTTCTGTTTATTCCATACATCCTTTTTTGTTCTTCTGTCTCTTTTTAGCCTTCTTTTGGGTTGAGTATCTCTTAAAATTCTGTTTTAATCTCTCTATTAGATTTTTGCTTATTTTTGGTAATCAAAAAATGGTGGTTATTTTGGTGGTTAGCATTAAAAACAAAGTGCAAATGACTCTTACACATGTTGAAAAAATGCTCAACCTCACTTTTTTATTTCATTAATTATTGCTCTTGTCTTTATTATTTTCTTTCTTCTACTTACTTCGAGTTGATTTATAGGGTTTTTAAGATGGCTTATGTTCTTGCTAATGTTTTACCTGGCTGTTTCATCAATTACTAAGAGAGAGTTGTTGAAAGCTTCAACTATAGCAGCAGATTTATACAAAGAGACACGGAGATTTTAATTCATTTAAATTCTGTCAATACATACTTCATAAATGTTGAAACTCTATTATCAGACACACACATATTCATAATTGCTATGTATTACTGAGGATCTACCATTTATTAGTATAAAATGTTCCTTCTTGGTTTTGATAAAACTCTTTATCAGTAAGTCTACTTTATCTAACATTAATACAGACATTCCAGCTTTCTTATAAGTATTTTCAGGATATATTTTTCTCTCCCTATTTAAAGTGAATCTATCTGTGTCATGATAAAGTGTATTTCCTCTGGATCACATATACCTGCATCTTGATTTTTTATTTTTATTGAGTCTGATAAACTGCCTTCTAATTGGAGTATGAAGTTCATTTGCATGTAATGTTAATTATCATTGAATAAAGGTATGCCATTTTATTATTCACTTTCTGTTTATCCTATATGTCCTTTTTTAGTTCTGTCTCTTTTTAGCCTTCTTTTGGGTTGAGTATCTCTTAAAATTCTGTATTAATATCTCTATTAGATTTTTTGCTTATTTTTGGTAGTTAATTGGGAGATTACAGTACTGTGTTAACTTTTCACAATCTATTTAGAGTGAATATCACAACACTTCAAGTAAAATGTAAGTGCTTTATGACCACATAGTTTAAATTTTCCTGATCCCATTTGCTTATTTATTATGAATATATTTTCTTACAGGTCCTTGAACATCATTATAACAGCTATTTTACAATCTTATCTGCTTATTTCAATATCTGGATCATCCTGGAGTTGATCTCAGCTGATTTCCTCTTCAGTATGTGTCACACCCTCCTTTTTCTTCATATGTCTAGTAATTTTGCATTCACTCCTATACATTTTAAAGTAAAGATTGTAGAGACTATGAATTCTGTTGTGTTCCTCTTAAGAGAGCTGATTTTGTGGACAAGTAGGAAGTTAATTTGTTTAAACTCAAGTTCCACACTCTGTTTTCCTTGTGTTGGAGTTCAGTCAAACATCTTTTTTCACTTCTTTTAGCCTTAATTGGTGTGCTTGGAGTCTTCCCCACGATTGTGTAATTCAAAGATACATTCTTATATTCAAAGATGTAAGAATAACTTACATCCAAAATTTAGGGCTTTCCAATTTTGAATCTCTGCTTTCCAGGGTTTTTCTCCTCGCCTTTTTAGCTGTGTCATTCTTTTCTTCTGAGTGTCCACTCACTTCCAGTTTCTTCCTGCTTTTGTTACACTCCAGGACATACAGATAGTAACAATGTTTCTACAGATTGTCTAATTATTTTGCCCAGAGTTTATTATTGCCATCTATGGAAAGCTTGGTCTGATATGAGCTATGCTACTACTAGTGGAAATGGAACTCTACCAGGATCCCTTTTAATTTTTTAAGAGGATATTAAGATTACAATGAGATAGTGGTTTTGAAAGATAAAAGTGTATGTAATAGATAAAAAAAAGATAAAACTGTATGTTGGCTGCAATCGAAGGAGTAGGTACTTTCGTATACTGTTAGTGGAGGTGAATTATTATGAACCATTGGTACCTAGTTGTGTGAAGTATAAAATTTCTTATTAAAACTAAAATTTTACATTTTTGAGTGTGTAAATCCAAGTCAAATCCATTCCACAGATATCCACATGCAAGTGCCAGTGGTAATGGACATACAAGGATATTGATTACAATATAGTAATTGCAATGGAGTTGAAAATCTTATACATCTAATAGTGGGAACATAGTTGAATTAATTTCATTGCATCAATTTAATATAAAAATTACCATGAAGACAGCAAACACATATCTAGTGGTTGGTCATACCATACAGCATCCTAAGTGCTTTACATGTATTATCTCACACAGTTTCCCAACGATAGTACTATTATCCCATGTACATATGAGTCACAAAGTTCAGCAGCATGTTGAAGATGAAACAGATAGTAAATGCCAAGATTAGTATTAAAACCCAGGGGAATCTGATTCCAAGATCATAGAATTGACCACGATACGGTGCTGTCTCACCATAGTATAATAATGAGCATCATAATGAGAATGAAGCAGTTTTCCAGGTACTGATATGGGACACTTTCAGGATGTAAATTCAATGAAAAAGGCAAGGTGAGGAATAAGTGTACAGAATCCCACCAATAATAACTAAACAGTAATTTACTAATTAAAGGATGATATACACACATTTGTATATATTTGCATATACATAGATTATCCCTGAAAGTGTACTTAAGAAACTGGTACTTGTGGAAATAACTGGGTAGCTGAGGCACATGGTAGCAAGGGAGAAATTTCACTGCATACCACTTTGTGTCTTTTGAATGTTGTGCCATGTCATATATTACCTAATGAGGAAAATGAATTAATCTTCTTTCCAGAATAACACGTTTAGTGCTTAGTGCAGTATATGGTTTACTGTAAACACTCACTCACTTTGTAATGGAAGTGCTTATAAAGAGTGAAATGGCTGACTCTTTGTACATAGGCAACACAAGAAAGCTTCAGCCAAAAGACTGTTAGCAGCATTGTAACTTTCCTTTTCCCCAGCGCCCTCCAGACACAGCCCACACAGAGCTGGGTCTAGAGTAGACAGTGAGTAAACACTTGTGCCCAACCAAAAATCTCAGTGACCAACTGGAAATTGATCACACTAATTCCTTTAATTCTTAGGTTGACACATTTGAAGTTTCCTTTTCCATTATCACTTTCTGTCTCTATAATATTCATTTTGATGTTATTTCCTATGCTGTAAACCTCAAATAATATCGAAGAAAGAGATTAAATACTTATAGCTGGCATATACAAATACACAATTTTAAATGCCTGTTTACCAAGGCGTTCTATAAAATGGAAAGGGAGAATTTATTGCTCTCACAAAGCATCGACACTCAGGCTGTCCATTCAACTGAGTGAAATCATTTACCTATGGTAATGTGCAATTTGCTAGTTTTACCAATGCTTTTTGTTTTTCTCTAGTGTCTGTAACATAGTAATTCTCATTTCCCTGAATGTGAACTCTAATCCAAATGATCGACCAATATACTCCTTAAAGCTTAACTTGGAAATGGTAATCTCTTTCTAAAAACATTGCAAAATAACAAGATCCTGTCTTAATGCAAAGGCTGAAGTGTAATGAAGGATTTGTGATACTATTTGTGAATTGCTTAAGCATCTGCCAGTAGCATGAGTTTTATGCATTCTCCGGCTGCTAAATTATGCCTTTGTATGTACCAAGAAAACACACTTAACATTTTTTACGCAGGGGAGATAAACCCAGTTTGTGGGCTCTGCTGTGAATGAGACTGCATTCAATACTTGTTTATGGCCCTAAGACTGTGCAAGGAGCCTGAAATTTATCAAGTAATTATATAGGTGGAAGTAGAAGCTGGAGCTTTATGTTGACTGGCTCAAGTCAATTATAACTTCTATATAACTGCTCCCATCAACTTTTGCAATTTGTAATATATATCACCATGACAGAAAGTAGGCTCATCTATACATTGCTTTTTCCCCCCAAAGTCTAAACATAGAAAATTCTGCCTTGACTCATAATAAATACCCCTCTCTTTGGGATATGACTGGGACACCTAAGGATACCTTCTTTTCCTCCCTTTCATAAAATGAGAGCCTTAACTATTTCAAATAAATTGAATTTTCCTTTTATTTTCTTATATCTCCATAGGTGCATAAATACATCCAGTTATTGCCTATCTGGCTATTCAAGGAAGCACTGCAATTTTCTCCATAGACACTTTAGGATCAGCCTGACACAGAGTCATTAAATGCAGAAATTAATTATTTCCCCATTGTCCTCATTCTGCCTCTTGACCACCAGAACACTTGCTCCAGAACCCACTTAGACTGTGGATTATTTAGCTCAGTTCTTACTCATCAAAACTCATCTGTCTTGTTTCTCCTTCTTTCGGGCATTTATGAGACTAGCAACTCATTCCACTCTGGCCAAGCTTGAAGAAGGGAGTGAACAGCTGGTTGACTAGAACTATTATACAAAAAAGCTTATGAGTTACATTTCCCCAGCATGGGAATGGAAACCACCTAATCCTCAGAGTTACAGTATTCTGGACATGGAAAAGATTTTTGAAATTGTGCATTTTCCACATCATAGATTTGGAGACGGATGTTCTAAAAGATCACGTAGTATTACAGAGCTAGTTAATTGAAGATCTGGAACCAGACATCAAATATCCTTTTTCTTTTAGCTTGTTTAAGTTCAGAGGTACAAGTGCAGGTTTGTTACATGGATAAACATGTGTCATGAGGGTTTGTCGTACAGATTATTTCATCACCCAGGTATTAAGCCTAGTACTCATTAGTTGTTTTTCCTGATCCTCTCACTCCTCCCACTTCCCACCCTCCAAAATACCCCAGTTTATGTTGTTCCCCTCTTTGTGTCCATGTGTTCTCATCATTTAGCTCCCACTTATAAGTGAGAACATGTGGTATTTGGTTTTCTGTTCTTGTGTTAGTTTGCTAAGGATAATGGCCTCCAGCTCCATCCATGTCCCTGCAAAGGACATGACCTCATTGTTTTTTATGGCTACATAGTATTCTATGGTGCATATGTACCACATTTTCTTTATCCAGTCTATCACTGATGGGCATTTAGGTTGATTCCATGTCTTTGCTATTGTGAATAGTGCTGCAATGAACATACGTCTGCATGTATCTTTATAATAGATTTTTTTTTCTGTGCTAATTTTCTGACCTCAAACCCTTAATATTTTTTGAGGTTTTGAATTGCAAAAAGTAAGAGAATCATTCCTATTTGAATCTCTGACATAAATCTATCAATTAATAGAAGATACTATAAAATAATAGAAAATATATCTGCATCTACCTATCTATATTTTTCCATAAAAGAATAATAGAAGATATCTATCAGATAATGAAGAACACTGGGCATGTAACATAAGACGAGAATTGTCATGTTGTGTCTGCTTGTTGGAGAAGAGGACTGGTGGGCACTAAGACCCTTCTTCCTCAATGGGAGTGTGCTGTGCAAAGATATTTACACTGTGGATCACCTTCTCATATTTTAGCCAGGTAAAATTGGGTGCAAATAATCACCATGTTTATTATTAAAAGAAGAGAATCTGTTGCTCTCCTCAGGCATCAACACTCAGGCTGTCCATTCAGCTGTGAAATTGTTCACCTATAATAATCAGCTATTTGCATTTTCACAAAGATAGACTGAAAGAGGAAGACATCACAAAAGGCTTATCCTCTTAATGGGGGCAGAAAAGCGTGGATTTTAGAACACAGGCTTCAGCATAAAAGAGATGTAGTTGTGAGTGCCAGTTGTCCCATTTATTAACTAGGCATCTTTGAACATTTATCTTCTCATCATTGGTGAGACAGTCATCACAATGAAACCACCCCAAAGAGGTTTTCCAAAGATACATACAATAATGAATGAGAGTGTCTAGCACTGTGCCTGATTCATAGTAAGCCCTTGCTGAATGCAGCATATAATAGCCAAAGGGTATATGGGGAAGAGAAGGAGCTGTTACAGGTTGTTTCTAGTTTCTGTTTTTGTTTTTGTTTTTTGTTTTAGGGTTTCTTTGTGTGATAGAGAATATTGGAAGGAAATATGTCTTAAATAGAGTTTGTGATATAAAAACGTATTTATAGATGAGGCTCCATAATGTCATCTTTAATGTCAGGAATGGATGAGTCACCTCCAAACCCACCCTGAGCTCTTTCTAATCAACATTTAGTCATTTTACTTGGTTTATCTTCAAACTTTTTCCCCACCCCGTGTTGACTGTCTGAAATGCCCTCTGCCTCTCACTCCCACCCTGACTCTCTTGGTAAAGTCAAATGTTCATCAATCTCCTTTCAATTTCCCATAGCATATCCTTGACAACACCTGCCAGCATATAGTGTTATTCTCTCCTTTCAAGTCTACCACCTCAGGGAACGGAGCTCTTTAAGGAAATGGACTATGACAATATCTATTATCTTATTCATCACTTTATTCCTACTACTTAGCAGAGGGTCTAATAAATAATAGTTGTCCAAACATTATTTGATGAATAAATGAATGTATGAATCACTTATTCCTCAAGGTCACTGGATTAGGACCACTAGGAAAATTCTGCTGATGGTGCTGATGTTTTTCTCCCTACAAGGAAGAGCTATTCAATTTTCTCTTGAATGAATGTGACCAGGCACTGGTTATTCTTAGTGCCTATTTTTTTTTTAACAAGCATAATTCTTCCCCCGACCAATAAAGAAAGAAAAAAAAAACTAGATAAGTACTTTTTCCATTTAGATGCATTTTAAGAAACAACCCTTTATAATATAGCCAAACAAGACAGAAAAAGAAATGTAATGCCTAACCAATTTAAAGGATTATTTTACTCAGTCCCCAGAATTCACCTCTTGTCTAGATGGCCTGTATACTATATAGTATTACTTCATCAATGTTAAATTTCTTGCATATAAAAATGTTTTATATCTTCTAATAGACTCATAGCTGCAACAGTCTCTTTCCAGAGACTTCTTTGAGTAAATTCATCATCTACTCCAGACTCACTGTACTCATCTAGAAAATGAAGATAATAGTAAGTCATACTTGATAAGGAGATTTTGAGGAAAAAATTGCATGATACAAGTTAATCAATTAAAATAGTATTTGTTATATAATGAACAATTCATAAAGTTAATTATTATTATTGTATTTTAAGATTTACGCTAATATACAGAATTTTAGGGTCATAACTGTGACATAACTATGCTATTTCATAACTATGCCCCTGTGATCATACACAGGTTTGTAAATAAATGACTCTTATAAAAATGGAATATTTCAGTCTTCCAATGCCCACATCATAGCTCTTTCTTATTCTCCCTTATTCTTCTTTTTTTTTTTTTTTTTTTTTTTTTGAGACGGAGTCTCGCTCTGTCGCCCAGGCTGGAGTGCAGTGGCGGGATCTCGGCTCACTGCAAGCTCCGCCTCCCGGGTTCACGCCATTCTCCTGCCTCAGCCTCCCGAGTAGCTGGGACTACAGGCGCCCGCCACTACGCCCGGCTAATTTTTTGTATTTTTAGTAGAGACGGGGTTTCACCGTTTTAGCCGGGATGGTCTCGATCTCCTGACCTCGTGATCCGCCCGCCTCGGCCTCCCAAAGTGCTGGGATTACAGGCGTGAGCCACCGCGCCCGGCCTCTCCCTTATTCTTCTTCCATTTTCTCTCTTGTTACATTCCTACCATGCATGCTAATTTACAAGTAAAATTCATGTGAGCAAAGATATATTTATAACAAGATGCATAGGTTTGAAACACCTCCATGTTGCCTCTTGATGGCACACCCTCTCCTCTCCCTGTTACCTCTAAATGGTACACTCTCCATGTGGATGCAAACCATTCTTTCTTCCGTATTGCCTCCTGGTTTCTCACCCTTCTTCTCACCATGTTGCCTCTTGGTGATACACCCTTCATCTTTCCCCTCCTGTTGCCTCTTCATGATACATACTTCTACCTTTTGTGTGGTCTTTTAATGATACACCCTCTCTGCTCCGTGTTGACTCTTCATGGCACAGCCTGTCTTCTCCATGTTGCCTCCTGATGGTAGACTCTCTTCGCTTCCTATTGCTAAGGGTACATTGAGGTGTACCCTTCTCCCCTCAATGTTTTCTTTTGATACTACACCCTTTTCCCTTGTGTGTTGCCTCTGATGGCACAGAATCTCTCCTCCTTGGTGCCTTCTGATGGTACACCCTTTTCTCCTTCATGTTTCCTATTGATGTCACACCCTCTACCCTCCATGTTGCCCCTCAGTGGCACACCCTCTGTATTTCATGTTGCCTCTTGATGGCACACACTCTTCCCCTCCCATTACCTCTTGTTGGCACATACTGTTTTCTTCCTGTTGTCTCTTGATGGTTCACCCTCCATGTTGCTTCTTCATGGTAAAACTTCTCCCCTCCATGTTGTCTCTCATTGGCATGCCCTCTTTCATCCGTATTGCTTCTTGAGGGTACACATTCTACCCTTTGCCTTGCCTTGTCATGGAACACCCTCTCATCTCTTTCTTGCCTCTGCATGGCCTTTTCCTTTCCATGTTTCCTCTTTATCTCACACCCCCTCGCTTTTCTGTGTTGTTTCCAGGTGGGAACCCTTTCCTTTCCTTGTTGCCTCTTTATGACATGCCCTCTCCCCCACATGTTACCTCTTGATGGCACACTCTTCTTCCTTCTATGTTTCTTTTTTTTTTTTAATTGGGACACCTTTCTCCCTTCCAGGTTGCTTCTTGATGGCACACGCTCTATCTCATGTTGCCTTTTGATGTCAAAACCTCTTCTGTCTATGTTGTCTCTTGATTGTACACATCATCTCCTCCATCTTGCCTCTTGATGATATGCCCTTCTCCCTTCCATGTTGCCTATTCATGGTACACTCTTCTCATCTTTATGTTGTCTCTAACGGTACAATCTTCCTTCTCCCTTTTGCTTCCTGATGGCATATCTTCCCCCTTCCATTTTTCCTCTTGATGGCACACGATTCTCCCCTCCACATTGCCTCTTCGTGGCACACCCTCTCTGCTCCATGTTGCCTCTTGTGGCATACTCTCTTCCTTTTGTGTTCCCTTTTGGTGGTACACCTACTCCCCTCTGTGTTGCCTTTTGGTGGTATAAATTCTCCCCTCCATGGTTCCTCTTGATGGCACACCCTCACTCCTATATGTTAACTCTTCTTGGAACACCCTTCTCTCTTTCTTGTAGCCTCTCTTGATACAACCCTCTCATCTTCATGTAGCCTCTTGAGGGTACACACCTCTTCCCTCTATATTGCCTCATAATGACATCAACTCTCCTCTTCATGTTGCCTGTTGATGCCACAACATTCCCCGCTCTGTGTCACCTCTTTGTGGCACACACTATTCCCTCTTGGTTGCCTCTTGGTGGTATAACCTTCTCTTCTCCATGTTGCCTCTTAATGGTACAATCTCTTTGCCTGTTGCCTGATTACGCCATTCCTTCATTTCCCAGTTGCCTCTTGATGGCACACCCTTCTCTTCTCCATGTTGCCTCTTGTTGGTACGCCCTCTAACCTCCATATTGCCTCTTGATAGTAAATGCTTTCCTCTCTTTTTTGCCTCCTTGATGGTACACCTTATCCTCTCCATGTTGCCTCTTGATGATACAACTTTGTCTCTTTCATGTTGCCTACTCGTGGTAGGCCCTTCTCACCTCCATGTTGTCTCTAATGGCACAATCTCTTGCCTCCATGCTGACTCTTGATCATACACCCCCTCCTTCATATTGGCTCCTGATGGACACCCTTCTCCCCTCCAGGCGGCCTCTTAATAGCACATCCTTCTTTCCTCCATGTTGCCTGTTTATGATACACTCTTCTACTATGTTGCCTCTCTTTATGTTATACAATCTCCCCTTTTGTTGCCTCTAGATGTGCAACCCTTTCCCGTCTATGTTGCCTCCTGATATGGTTTGGCTTTGTGTCCCTATCCAAATCTCTTCTAGAATTGTAATCCCCACTTGTCAAGGGAGAGGCCTGGTAGGAGGTGATTGGATCATGGGGGCAGTTTCCCCCATGCTGTTCTCATGATACTGAGTGAGTTCTCATGAGATCTGATGGCACTTTATAAGGGGCTCTCCCTGCTTTGCTCACCACTCTCTCTCGCCTGCCACCATGTAAGACAGGCCTTTGCTTCTCTCTCACCCTCCACCATGATTGTAAGTTTCCTGAGGCCTCCCCAGCCATGCAGAACTAAGTCAATTAAAACCCTTTCCTTTATAAATTACCCAGTCTTGGATATGTCTTTATAGCAGTGTGAGAATGGATGAATACACCTCCTAATGGTACACACTTTTCCCTTCCTCATTGCCTCTTGATAACGCAATCTCTCCCCACCATATTTCCTCTTGATTACACAACCTCTCTCCACCATGTTTCCTATTAATGATGCCACAACATCCCCCACTCCATGTTGCCTCTTCACGGCACACACTATCCCCTCCCTGTTGTCTCTTGGTGGTATACTTTTCTCTGTGTTGCCTCTTGTTGGTATACCCTCTCCCTTGCCAGTTGCCTATTTAAGCCATGTTCTCTTTGCTTTGTTGCCTCTTGATGGCATACCCTTCTCCTCTCCGTCTTGCCTGTTGATGATAAACCCTTCTTCTCACTATGTTGCCACAGGATGGCACACCCTCTGCAGTCCATGTTATCTCTTAATGCAACACTTTTCTCCCCTCCGTGTTGCCTCTTTATGGTACATCTTTCTTCCCTCTGTGTTGCATCTTGATGTTACATGTTCCTCTCTCCACGTTCTTCTTAATGATACACCCTATCTCCTCCGTGTTGCCTCTTGATGGTACACCTTTTTCCCTCCCTGTTGCCTCTTGATGGCACAACTTCTCTTCCCATGTTGCCTCTCGATGGTACACCCTCTCCCCTCTGTATTGTCTCTTAATGTTGCACCTTTTCCCCTTCATGTCGATGAAACACCCTTCTATTCTTGGTGTTGCCTCTTGATGGTACCCTCTTCTGCCTTCTATGGTGCCTATTGATGATACAGCCTTCTCCCTTCTATGTTGCCTCTTGATGGAACATCCTTTTCTCCTCCATTATGCCTCTTGATGATGGCACATCTGCTCTGCTCCATGTTATCTCTTGATGGTACACAATGTCCCCTCCGTGTTATCTCTCAATGGTAGATCCTTTTCCCTTCCATCTTGCCTCTTGATGGTGCATCTTTTCCCATCCATGTTCCTCGTGATGGTACAGTCACTCTTTTCCATGTTGCCTCCTGATGGTATGCTCTCCTCTCTCCATGTTTCCTCTTGATGGTACAAACTTCTCCCTTTCATCTTGTCTCTCGTGGTACACCAGCTCTCCTCTAAGTTGCCTCTAGTGGTACACACTTCTCTATGTTGCCTCTGGATGGTACTCACCCTCACCTCCATGTTGCCTGTTAATGGCACACACTTCTCCCTTCCTAATTACCTCGTGACGATCTACTCTCTCCCCTCCATGTTCCCTCTTGTTGGCACACCATTCTCCCCTTCATGTTGCCTCTTGACGGTACACCCTTTTCTTTTCTATGTTGTCTCTTGTTGACACACTCTTTTGCCTTTATGTTGCCTCTTTAAGGTATGCACTACTTCTTTCCCTGTTGTTTCTTGATGGTACACTTTTCTTTTTTTTTAAATGTTGCTTCTTGATGTTACACCCTCTCCACTCCAGGTTGTCTCTCGATGGCACACCCTTCTGCCCTCCATGTTACCTCTTGGTGGTCCACACTTTCTCCTCTGTGTTGAGTCTTGATGGCACACCCTCTCCTCTCTGTGCTTCTTCTTGATTGTCACATCCTCTCCCCACCATGTTTTATCTTGATGGCACAAATTCTCCCCTCCATATTGCCTCTTTATGACATACCTTCTTCCCCTCTATATTGCCTCTTCTTGACACACCCTCTCCCCTTTATGTTGGCTCTTGATGTCACACCTTCTTTCCTCTGTGTTGCCTCTTGATTGTAAACCTTCGCCTCTCCATGTTGCCTCTTAATGATACATCTTCTCCCCTTTTTGTCGCCTCCTGTTGGCACACCCTTCTCCCCTCTATGCTGTCTCCCAGTGTTATACCTTCTCTACTCTATGTGTCCTCATGATGGTACACCTTTCTCTCCTCTGGCCTTTCACAGCTCTCTCCAGCCCTCTCACATCCAGTTAAATTGTTACATGATCCCCAGCTGCCACCTTGATAAAGGTGGAGATTCACAAAGGCTGAGAGACAGGGCCTAGCATCCAAACCTATAATTTGCAACTTTATTATTCGATCTCAGCAGGGTGTTTCCTGTTGCAAAGGTTTCCCTGCTTTGATATTATAGATGAAACGGACACTTGCAGAATGTGTTCCTCATCCCAGGTAAGAAACTGAATAGAACAGGGGGAAATGCTTTAGAGGAGCATAAGGGAATAATATTCTGTGCTAGAAGAGACGCCTGAGGTGAATGCCCAGATGATTACTTTGTTCAAAGGGCAATTGTGTCCCCATTGGAGAAAAAAAGGGAGCCCATTCTTTGAAGAAAAATCATTTTACTTCCAGCTCTTCTTTTTTCAGTTTATTTGATCAGGCCAGACATTTTCTTCCATTTTTTATTTATTTTGTACTTTTTTTCTGACAGATTTAGTTGATCTAGGATGACAACACATTTTTATCTTTGCAGTTTCAGGTTTAATTAAGCACAGAAGTGACAATTCAGTTTTTCAGGATACCCAACCTCAAAAAAAAGAGGTTCTTCACCTAAAGTTTTCAGAGACAATAGCCATCTAACTTTACCCTTAGAACTTCAGTTTCTTATAAACCCAGTCAGAATTCATCTTCATCCATTTATGTTGTCCAGTTTACAATCAAAGTACAAGAGACTCTTCTTTTTCCTCCTTACCACTAGCAAATTTTCTCTAAGCTTAAATACAGTCAGAAATGCACCAAGTGATATCAAAACAGAATATGATATTACATTAATTATATTATATTATATTTATCACAAGCAGTATTGGGGCACACTATCCATCAATCAAGGAAGTTGTTATTATGCTGTAGTATTGAATGATTAAAGTCATTGAAAAAATGTTTGTCAGGGAAATGTTCTTCAGTTTTGTTTAATACCAGAGCTTTTCTGCAAAGAAATTATGCATGTAATCTTATCTATAATAATTTTTGCCATCTATGTATTTTCAGTGCTTTATTTTTTTGATGTTTTCTCATAACTATCAAAAATGTAAAAATAGAAATATTCTGCTCCCATTCAGCTCAGAATAGAAAGCGAGGAAGAAAGGACACTAGTGTGGAAAAAAAATGCTTTGCTTATTTATAAAATTTTATTTCTTCATTTATTCAGTAAACATTTATGGAATGCCTATTGTGCCATGTGTGGTAATAAGTCCAGTTTATAATGGAGAAAAAGACAGAATTCCTGCTTCATGAGGTATCCATTTGTCAGCAGAGGGGAAACAGAAAACGAACAAATAATCTGTGAACATATCAATTTTACACTACAGATTCTCATAGACTATAGTCAGCTCTAAGAAGAAAATAAGATGGAGTAATGTGATGTGGCAGGAGGAGGGAGAGGAAATTTCAATCAGGGTGATCAGCGAAGTTCTCCCTGAAGTGGCATTTGGCTGAGCCATTAAGTTTAAGAAGAAGCCAAATGTGCAAGGTCCAGGCACAGAGTGTCCCTAATGGAAGGGTCAGTGAATGGAAAGCTCTAAGAGAACAATCAAGGCCATTGTGTCCAGATCAGATCTAGCAGGTGGAGAGGGGTATGGGAAGAAACCTAAGAAGTACCCAGAAGCCAAATCACATAGCCCAAAAGGATGTGGCCAGGACACTCTCTGTTTGTGAATGGGCAGGAGGGCAGAAAGATGAGTGTGAAGGCAGAGTTAACAGCCTAAAGGTGTGTAAAATCATGCAACCCCAAGGGAAAATGCAGTCATCAGATGCATTTTCCACTTTGAATCTATCTCAAAAAAAAAAAAAAGCACAAAATTGCGCTACACTATTTATCAACTGTGTGCTTGGTATTCCAGTGTCTGGAACTCTGAACACTTTAGATTTTTTAAATATAGGATATTGTTGCCTTGAGCAAAGTTACTTTGCAAATCTGGAATCCTCTTATACATGTAGATGTAAGCCTTTCCATGCACTAGAATGTTGGAAAGGCATATTCTAAAATACTGTTTGAAAATAATATTGAGGTTATGTGTAAAGCTACATATGTATGAAGCAAAATGTGGAAAGGAATGTGCAAAATGAAACATTTCATTAAGGTAGTAAATAAGGGAATATTTCATTTTCTTCTCTAAGGTTATTATGATAACATTTTTATAGTAAAGAAAATCCATTTTTGGCTCAGAGGGTACGAAAGCATACATTTGCAACCAGGCAGAAGAGCTTTAAATGCTTAAAAGATAGAAAGTAACTTTGATTTTTATTTTAAGTTTTCATTTGAGCCAGGTAATAGAAACCACCATAAGACAGAATGCTGGTAATCTGAATTAATAGGTATCACTTTACAGAAGTCTAAGAGATTTCAAGAGGGGGTACAGGATTAAATGAACACCAAGCTGTTCAACAGTTAATTGACTTCTTTAAAATATTCAGTAAGTATTAAGGACTGTTATAAAGTTGTTCTGTATGGAACAGTCACAAAGAAATAACACACAAGGTCCCTACTTTATGAATTTGAGCTCAGCATGTTTTCCAGCTGACTTATACTCCTTTAGAGACAAGATTTTCCCCAAATAATTAAGCCCTTATGTCTTTAATGTCTTTTTGCAATCTAGCATAATGATGTGACCACAGGAATGGACCAAGTGTCATATGGCCTATGGATATGAAAATTCCCCAAGTGAGTGCTGCTGTCCCACCGTCAAAATTGCACTACACTGTTTATCAACTGTGTGCTTGGTATACCAGTGTCTGGAACTCTGAACTCTTTAGATTTTTTAAGTGTTTCTATCAAGAGTAGGAGTTCATCATAGGTATAAATCTTGTTGAGGTAGTTTCTTAGATATGGCATCAAAAGCACAAGCAACAAAAGGAAAAATAGATAACTTGGACTTCAAAATTAAAAACTTTTGTGTTTCAAAGGACATCATCAAGAAAGTGAAAAAAAAATCCAATCCAGGAGAAATTATTTGCAATTTGTGTATCTGATAACATATCTAGAAAATACAAAGAATCCTTACAACTCAATCATAGACAGGCAAATGTTTACTGATTTGAAAATGGGTACAAATTTGAATAAACATCACTCTAAACAAGATATAAAAATGGCCAATAACCACATGAGAATATTCTCAACATCATTAGCCATCAGGGAAGTGCTCATCAAAAGTACAGTGAGATAACACTTCGTACTCACTAGAATGATATTACTAGAAAGACACAATAACAAGTGTTGGCAGGGATGCAGTGAACGTGAATCCATCATACACTGAGTGTATGATGTAGGGCAGCTGCTTTGGCAAACAATCTGAGAGTTTCTTGAACGATTAAACATAGAGTTAAGATATGACTCAGAAATTTCACTCCTAGGTATCTATCCAAGAGAACTAAAAACATGTCCACACAAAAACATTTATATTCAGTTCATAACAGCACTATTTATAATAATCAAAAGTGGAAACAACCTCATTGTCCATCAATGGATAAATGGATAACTAAAACGTGATACGTTCATATAATGAAATGTTATTTTGCAATAAAAAGGAATGAAGTACGGGTAGATGCTACAACATGGATGAACATTAAAAACATCATGGTAAGGGAAAGAAGGCAGTCATGAAAGATCAAATACTGTATAACACCATTTACATGAAATGTCTAGAGCAGGCAAATCTATAGACACAGAAAGGAGATTAGTGGTTTTCTAGGGGTAGAGATGGGGAGAATTCAGGGGAAGTGACTGCTAATGGGTAGAGGGCTTGGAGGTGATGGAATATTCTCATATTGAGTGTGATGATAGTTGTACAACCCTGTAAATATACTTTAAAATATTGAATGATATACTTTAAAAAGGCAAATAGTATGATGGTATGGTATGTAAATTATATCTCAATAAAGCTGATGTTTTTTAAAAAGATAAAAGTTCTTAACAGAGATGACTGCACTATGTAATTTCTACCTTTGCACATTTCTCCCCAAAATGAAGAATTCTGACATACTAAGAATGAAATTGTCAAGAAATAAGACTAGAATTAACTGTCCTTACATTGAGCTACATACGCTGCTAATTAAGCTTTTGGCATGGATGTGGAAACCAAATGAGCCAAAAGCTAAGTAATTTTCCAAAATATACAATACTAGCAGAATTAAAATTTACTCAATATTAATTAACTCCTCAATCACTATTAGCTTAAGACTCTAGAATTGTATCTTCAGAAGGCACCTAAGTAATGAATCTCCACACTGTAAAACAGGGAAACAGGGCCCCAGAAATTTCAATGTTTTGCCCCCAGTTCACATAGTAAATGCTAGACTGAGCAAAGAACAAAAGCCAGATCTTGTGAATTTCAGTTCAATAGAAAGTCAACTACATAAACAGTTTGTAGTACATAAACATCTTAGATAATAAGTTCAGCCATTATTTAAAGAAAAACAAAGGAAGTTATGTCCCCCGTAATGCAATTATTTACTTTAACAACAGATATCAAATTCATTGCCTTATATTGAAAGAAGAACAAACATTTCTCCTAGGAGTGGTTGCCAGTGTTGTCCTAGTGATTTCTGTCATGTGAGATTCAACCCAAGAACCAAAATTTAATGTCTCCAGACACATAAAAGCCACATTTTGTTTTCTGCTTTCTAAGGAATAAGAGATGGGCTGTGACAATTCCAACAGAGGATTGTTTTAGGCCTTGGACAAATCACCACTGTGATCCTTTCATGTTGCCCTGCCTCTTCCATCCCAGGATAGCACAGACATCCAGTGAGGCCAAGGCAGGAAAGGCACAATGGGGAGAAGGATGGTGACGAAAGGGAAAAGTGCCCTCTTGCCTACTTTTTGTTGATGTGGGAGCTGGGTAGGAGAAGTGTGGATGAGACTCCAGGTTCTTCTACCTCTAAGAGTCTAGATTCCTAACCGAAGTAGGGACCAGCATCACCTTGTTAGAAATGCATACTCTAGCCCCACCTCACTGCCGAACAATCAGAATCTCCCTTTTTACAAGATCCTGGGTGATTAATATCTGAGAAGTGCTGGATACCCAGCCAGTCTGTGTCAGCTGTTCTCTGAAGCACTGCTCAGCTGTCTGCATCTTGGGGACCCAGGTGTCAGTGTCCAAGAAGGAGGGCAGCTCTAGTTTCTGGGCTTGCATGGACAACATCCATTTTTGTTCCAATTGGAAAAGAAATTATGTTAGAAGAAGTGTTAAGTCAGTCAGCTGCCTCACTAACTCGACTCTCAGCCCAAAGTTAATGTTCCAGTTTTTTCCCCTTCTTATGTTGACCTTTAAAAGCTCTCAACAAGCTCCCTCAGAATTTCTGTGAATGCCTTTTCATTAAATTTCTGTGCCTTCATCCATGCAAAATAAGGAAGTCCTCTTTTCCCAGAAATTAATGTATCTCCTGTCAAACTCTTCATGAGTTCAAACTAATTATGGCTGCAGATGGTACTGCTAAATAAGGTTCTCTATTGTGGAACACTTAATCAAATCAGTGTTCCTCATAGAAACATCTGTCTTGTGGTAGAAACCTGTTGCTGGAGGTTAGTTGAGACTTTTAAGTTATTCTAGGAAGTTTTTTATCCTAATTTTATTCTGAAGCAAGGATTGCTATCAAACTCCTGTGCAGGCTTAGAAGTATCTCATCAGGGTTTCTTTTGTCTAAATAATAAATAAAATGGTGGCATTACATTTATATTTAAACACTACTTGGCTTGTACAGAGGAGTAAACAGCAGTAGAGTTGGTGAAGTTGCATCCGTTTTGAGCCTGACTGGTGCTGTGTGGATGCGCACTTCTCCTCATCTTCAGCTGATCTAGAACTCTTCTTCCAGCTATTAACAGTCTTGAGACAATCTCAAAGCACTTTCACCAGAGAGCTAGTGGCTTAGAGAGATGGTGGCAGGGGGACCGGGGGGGAAGAAAACAGAAACTGCATTTTTGAGTAATGTTTTACTGTGGAAAGTTAAACCCAAGGGCTGAAACGTATCTTTAAATGATCAACATTTCTCGAGTGTTCTTCCTTCCCTCTCATTGTCCATGGAGGCAATAGAGATCTGTCTTCTCTGATTTAAAGAAATCAGCATCAATGGCACTAAATTGTATGGGATTTCAGAACTTAATTATGGTTTTGATTTTACACTATAGTGGCATGAGATGAATCTAAGGAGAAATGGAAAACTGTACCAACTGGCAGCTCTATATAAGAAAAGAAAATGTTCAGAGTTTCCAACCATAGCCAAATCAAGACAGCATTTCCAGCTTCAGAAATTACTAATCACTGCCAGAGTCTCATTTTCAATGGAATGGATTTGGATGATGTGAAAGAGAAGGGTTGATTTATAGCTTAGATGGAATCCAACTCGAGCCAACATAAAGAAGCTCATTATAAGCAATGGTCACATGTGTTCCCCCACTTACCTGAGTGGCCACTTGCTTGCTGGCTACACAATGACTGCAACCTTTACAATTTACAGTTCATCAAGAACAATTGATTCCCAGACCTAACATTTTACTGTGGCCTTCACTAGGTTCACACTGATCCACTAGGCTCTCTCCCTGATAGTTCCAAACCCCCAAGGGGGGTCCTCAGATATTCCCACCCTCCAAGGAGTGGCCATGAGCTTGCTAGAGATGTGTATATGGTAAATGCAAACAATTTTTATTTTATTAGAAAATATCTTATCATTTTCATCATAGTAGTTAACCATCAACAGCCGTGCTGAGAGCTGAGCAGTCTGTATGGAGAATTAATTCTATCTCATTCAGTGAATGTCAAGCATTCTGGCACTTCCTTATTAGTTTAATTTAAATGAAATCACTCATCCCTCTGGGTTTCCATTTTCTATTTCTGCAAAAAAGAGCCAAGCATTGTGGAAGAAGGAACTCCACCTGCCTTTGGAGCCAGATACCTCCTCTGGTTCCTGGCTTAGCTGCCAAAAAGCACGAGCTCTGGTCAAATCACAAAAGCTCTACACGTTTCACCTGTAACATAAAATGTTTATGTTTTATAATGATATAAAATGATTAGGTTAAATTTATATGTAAAATGCTTACTGGGTTCTTTCATTCTCAGAAGTGGTTCTCAGCAATTAGATCATTCATGTGTATTTCTTTCTAAGGGAGCTTGCAATTTTTGTGCTCTTGGCAGGCTCTGTAGGTAGCTTATCTTACATTATGAATAAAAGTTTGTAAACAGAGATGGACTTACTTTCATGTAAGTTCATGAATGAGAATAAAATATTTTGTTGTACATGAAAAATTATAAATCTATACTATACACAGATATATATATATACATGTCTATCCCTGTTTCTATTCTTATCTCTATCTCTATGATCAGTATATCTACGCACAATTATATCTTCTAGAGGCATGCAGATCGTGTTGTCATCTGGATTTTTCCCTTTGCAATAAAGGCTCTACTTGAAAAGTCAACCTTGAATAATGTAGAAAACAAGTAGAAGCATTTTTCTCTGCTAGTGAATAGATAAAACTTTTTTATTTTCATGTTTATTTTTTATTTTTTAGAGACAGGGTTTTGCTCTGTCACCCAGGCTGGAGTGCAGTGGTGTGATCATAGGTCACCAAAGCCTCAAACTCCTGGGCTCAAGGGATTCTCCCTCCTCAGCCTCCTGAGTAGCTGGGACTGTGGGTGGGTGTCACCATGCCCAACTAATTTTTAAATTATTTGTAGAGACAGGGTCTCACTATATCGCCCAGGCTGATTTCAAACTCCTGGGCTCAAGCAATCCTCATGTCTCAGCCTCCCAAGGTGCTGAGATTTACAGGTGTGAGCCACCTTGTCCTACAGATAAAGGCTTCTTTCTATAATAAGGAATATAATTAATGACTTTTTCCATTTAGCCTGTAATGTATACTAACTTGAGTACCAAAAAGATCGCTACTTTTGATTTGACTCCAAAAGCACATGCAACAAAAGAGAAAAGAGATAAATGGAGTAATATCAGACTAAAAAGCTTCTGCACCACAAAGGAAACACTCAACAGAATGAAGAGACAATCTACAGTATGGGAGAATATATTTGCAAAACATGCATCTGACAAGAAGTTACTATCCAAAATATATAAGGAATTCAAACATCTCAATAGGAAAAAAAGAATAACCCAATGAAAAAATGCACAAAGGACCTGAATGGACATTTTCCTAACGAAAGGCATAAAAATGGCCAACATATATATGAAAATATTCTCAACATTTCTAATCATCAGAAAAATGCAAATTAAAACCACAATGAGATAGCATGTCATGCCTATGAAGGTGACTGTTATGAAAAAGACAATAAAATAACAGGTGTTGGTGAGGATGTGGAGGAAAGGGAACTCTTGTATGCTCTTGGTGAGAATATACATTAGTAGAGTCATTATGGAAAACATTATGTAGCTTCATTAAAAATTAAAAATAGAACTACCATACGATCTAGCAATTCCATTTCTAGGTATATGTCCAAAGGAAATTAGTGTGTGAAAGATATCTGCACTCGCATGTTCATTGCAGTAGTATTTGCAATAGCCAACCTATGGAATCAACCTAAGTGTCTATCAAGGAATAAATAGATAAATAAATTATGGTGGGGCCGGGCACAGTGGCTCACACCTGTAATCCGAGCACTTTGGGAGGCCGAGGAGGGTGGATCACCTGAGGTCAGAAGTTCAAGACCTGCCTGGTCAACATGGTGAAACCCCGTCTCTACTAAATATATGAAAATTAGCCAGGCATGATGGTGGGCACCTGTAATCCCAGCTACTCAGGAGACTGAGGCAGGAGAATCGCTTGAACCCAGGAGGTGGAGATTACAGTGAGCTGAGATCATGCCATTGTGCTCTAGCCTGGGAAACAAGAGCAAAACTTCATCTCAAGAAAAAAAAAAAAGAAATCACGGAGCATAGACATGATAAAATACTATTCAGCTCTATAAAAAAGAGGGAAATCCTGTCATTTACAACAACATGGAGGAAACCGGTGGACATAATGTTAGGTGAAAGCCAGACAAAAAAAAAAAAAAAAGACAAATACTGTCCTTTCAGGGACATGGATGAAGCTGGAAGCCATCATTCTCAGCAAACTAACACAGGAACAGAAAACCAAACACTGCATGTTCTCCCTTATAAGTGGGAGTTGAACAATGAGAACACATAGACACAGAGAGAGGAACATCACACACTGGGGCCTGTTGGGGAATGGGGTCAAGGGGAGAGAGAGCATTAGGATAAATACCTAATGAATAAGGGGTTTAAAACCTAGATTACAGGTTGATAGGTGCAGCAAGCCACCATGGCACATCTATACTTATATAAGAAACCTGCATGTTCTGCACATGTATCCCATAACTTAAAGTAACATAATCAAAAAGACAAATACTGCATGAAATCGCTTATATGTGAAATCTTAAAAAGTCAAGCTCATGGCAGCAGAAAATAGAATGATGGTTACCAGAGGGTGGAGGATAGGAGGATTGGGGAGATACTGGTCAAGGGATACAAAATTTCAGTTAGCAGGAAGAAGTTCAAGAGCTCTATTGTATACCATAGTAACTCTAGGATTTTTTGGTTTTGTTTTTTAATTTTAAGTTCCAGGGCACATGTGGAGGATGTGCAGGTTTGTTACATAGGTAGACATGTGCTGTGATGTTTTGCTGCACTTATCAACCTATCGCGTAGGTATTAAGCCCAGCATGCATTAGCTATTTTTCCTGATGCTCTTCCTGTCCCTGCACCCCCTACTCCCAACAGGCCCCAGTGTGTGTTGTTCCCCTCCCTGTGTCTATGTGTTCACATTGTTCAGCTCCCACTTGTAAGTGAGAACATGCGGTGTTTGGTTTTCTATTCCTGCATTAGTTTGCTGAGGATAATGGCTTCCAGCTCCACTCATGTCCCTGCAAAGGACATCATCTCGTTCCTTTTTATGGTTTCATGGTTTTCCATGGTGTATATTTACCACATTTTCTTTACCCAGTCTATCATTGACGGGCATTCGGGTTGATTACATGTTTTTGCTATTGTGAATAGTGCTGCAATGAACATATACACATGCAGGTATCTTTATATAGAATGATTTATATTCCTTTGGGTATTATAGTAATGGCATTGCTGGGACAAATGGTATTTCTGCCTCTAGGTTTTTGAGGAATCACCACACTGTCTCCCACAATGGTTGATCTAATTTACATTCCCACCAACAGTGTAAAAGTGTTCCTTTTTCTCCGCAGCCTCACCAGCATTTGTTGTCTCCTGACTTTTTAATGATTGCCATTCTAACTGGCGTGAGATGGTATCTCATTGTGGTTTTGATTTGAATTTCTCTAATGCTCAGTGATGTTGAGCTTTTCTGCATATGTTTGTTGGCTGCATGAATATCTTCTTTTGAGAAATGTCTGTTCATGTCCTTTGCCCACTTTTTAATGAGGTTGTTTGCTTTTTTCTTGTAAATTTGTTTAAATTTCTTGTAGATTCTGGATATTAGACCTTTGTCAGATGGATAGATTGCAAAAAGTTTCCCCCATTCTGTAGGTTGTTGCTCACTCTAGTGACAGTTTCTTTTGCTGTGCAGAAGCTCATTTAATTATATCCCATTTGTCAATTTTTGTTTTGTTGCAATTGCAACAAGATTTCAGCATTTTCATAATGAAATCTTTGCTTGTGCCTATGTCCTGAATGGTATTGCCTAAGTTTCCTTCTAGGGTTTTTATAGTTTTGGGTTTTATATTTAAGTTGTTAATTCATCTTGAGTTAATTTTTATATAAGGTGTAAGGAAGGGGTCCAGTTTTAATTTTTCTGAATATGGCTAGCCAGTTCTCCCAGCACCATTTGTTAAATAGGGAATCCTTTCCTCATTGCTTGTTTATGTCAGATTTGTAGAAGATCATGTGGTTGTAGATGTGTGATCTTATTTCTGAGTTCTATTCTGTTCCATTGGTCTATGTGTCTGTTTTTGTACCAGTGCTATGTTGTTTTGGTTACTTTAGCCTTGTAGTATAGTTTGAAGTCAGATAGCATGATGCCTCCAGCTTTGTTCTTTTTGCTTGGGATTGTCTTGGCTATACAGGCTCTTTTCTGGTTCCATATGAATTTTAAAAGAGTTTTTTTCTAATTCTGTGAAGACTGTCAATGGAATGTCAATTAAGGGGAATAGCATTGAATCTATAAATTATTTTGGGCAATATGGCCATTTTCACAATATTGATTCTTCCTGTCCATAAACATGGTATATTTTTCCATTCACTTGTGTATTCTCTGATTTCCTTGAGCAGTGGTTTGCAGATCTCCTTGGAGAGGTCCTTCACTTCCCTTGTCAGCTGTATTCCACCATGATCAACTCAGCTTCATTCCTGGGATTCAAGGCTGGTTCAACATACTGAAAATAAACGTAATTCATTACATAAACAGAACTAAAGACAAAAAGTACATGATTATCTCAATAGACGCGGAAAAGGCCTTTGATAAAATTCAACATCTCTTCATGTTAAAAACTCTCAATAAAATAGGTATTAAAGGAACATACCTCAAAATAACAAGAGTCATTTATGACAGACTCACAGCCAATATCATACTGAATGGGCAAAAGCTGGAAGCAATCCCCTTGAAAACTGGCACAAGACGATAGGAGTGCTCTCACCACTCCTATTCAGCATAGTATTGGACATTCTGACCAGGGCAATCAGGCAAGAGAAAGTAATAAGTGTATTCAAATAGGAAGAGAGGAAGTCAAATTGTCTTTATTTGCAGATGACATGACCCTATATGTAGAAAATCCCATCTTTTCAGCCCACAAGTTTCTTAAGCTGATAAGCAACTTCAGCAGTCTCAGGATACAAAATCAATATGCAAAAATCACAAACATTTCTATACACAAACAATAGGCATGCAGAGAGCCAAATCATGAATGAATTCCCATTCACAATTGCTATGATGACTGTAGTTAATAGCAATGTATTCTATACTTAAAATTTGCTGACAGAGTAAAATTTAAATGTTCTCATCACAAAAAAAAGATAAATATGTGGTATGGTTTGGCTCTGTGTCCCCACCCAAATCTCATCTTGTAACTCCCATAATTCCCATGTGTTTTGGGAGGGACCCAGTGGGAGATGATTGAATCATGGGCATGGGTCTTTCCCATGCTTTTCTCATGATAGTGAATGAGTCTCACGAGATCTGATGGTTTTAAAACAGACGTTTCTCTGCACAAGCTCTCTCTCTTTGCCCTCCACCATCCATGTAAAATGTAACTTGTTCCAATTTGCCTTCCACTATGATTGTGAGTCCTCCCCAGCCATGTGGAACTGTTAAGTCCAATAAACCTGTTTCTTTTGTAAATTGCCCAGTCTAGAGTATGTCTTTAACAGCAGCATGAAAACTAACTAATATGGTATGTGAGGTAATTAACATGCTAGCTAATTAATTTGATTTAGCCATTCCACAATGCATAAGTATTAAAAAAACACATTGTACACCATAAATATGCACAGTTCTGTCAATTAAAAAAATCAAAAGGCTGATAATTTACAATAGAACTAAAATTTTGAACTGTTCTAAAAATAACATTTTTTGTTTATTCTGTTTGGCAGATTGGCCTGGTCCCCTTATGCTAAGTACCAAGATTAGATGATTAAATTTAATATATGTGCCTATAGGCATAGTTCTGGATATAAACATGACCATCAGAAGTTTAAACCTAAAAGAACAACATTAGAACAATATTGGAAGAACAATAATGTAATAAGTAGGGGTTATGGACTGCATTGTGTTCGCTCAAAATTCATATGTTGAAACACTAACCCCCAATGTGATTGTATTTGGCTTTCTAAAGAGGTAATTAAGGTTAAATAATGTCATACAGGTGGGGGCCTAAGTCAACATGACTGAGACACCAAGGATGTGCTCACAGAGGAGGGGTCATGTGAGGACACAGCAAGAAGACAGCCAATCTGCAAGCCAGGAGAGAGGTTCAGGAGAAACCAGTCCTGCTGGCACCCTGATCTTGGACTTCTAGCTTCCAGAAATGTGAGAAAATAAATTTCCGTTCTTTAAGCCACCCAGTCTACGATATTTTGTTATGGCAACTCTGGTAAATGAATATAGTAGGTTAATATCAACTTGGAGTGCAGAAACAAACTTGGAACCTGGAGTCTTTCATTCTAGTACAGACTCAGGGAATATCTCTTTTCTCACCTTGAGCAAGTCTCACATTCTTATTAGTACAATTAAAAACAAACTTATCTGAGAGAACTCTGATATTTGCTCTTGTTCTCATATATTTTGTCCCATTATAATGACAATAATAATAATAAGAGGTAACTTGCATTTGAGGTTCTCTATGCATCTGGCATTCTTCTATTAGTGCATTCTGGCACAAGGATGCTGAAACCATTGCAGGCTATAGCTCTCCCAGGCATCCAAGGGCAAGACTGCAATACTATTCTTCATGGTGTTGCAAGCATGCAGAGGAGGATAGAATGCTATTGCATTGATTCTATCAACTGCAACTCTGCAACGTCTGTTTACATTGTATTAGAATCTCTGAAAGATTACCAACAGATTTTATTTACATGATTTCATTTATTCCTTTCAACAAACATACAGTGCCCTTACTCATCTACTCCTCAGAGCATTCCAAAAGATGAGTCTCAATATTGTTATTTCATGATTTTAAATTTCCTAAGGTCTCATGGATACACACATACATACTCCCTCACATTGTATAAATATGCTTTTGTGTAATATATTTTGAAAAATAATCTGTACGCATTCATAATCGTAGCTAATATTTTATGTACTAGAAACTTTATTAAGCAATTTACATGCATTATCAGTTCTTTGAATCCTCCCCACAATACCATGAGGTAGGAGTGTCATCAACTTCATTTTACAGCAGGAGAAACCAATCATTCACTCAAACAATTCGAGGGAAATTTTGCTGGCAAAAGAACAGGGACCTGAACCCAGAGCATCTATGCACTTTTACAGCATATATGCTTAATAAATTATGCAATCCTGCTTCTTTGGAAAGCTACTGATTTCTGTACTGAACCACTTTAGGTTAATAAGTAGAAACAAGCCTTCAACAACAATAAAACTCAACAAATTCCTTTCCAAAATTACCGCTTCCAAAAGAATGTTTACACAAGTTTTTTTTCAAATTGTGACAATTATCATTTAAGAATCTAAACTAAATTCACGTATAGTTCTTTCTGTGTCTTCTACATATAAAGTCAAGGCCTCACTGCTATGATTTCCAACAAAACCTCAGGCTGACAGTTGTATTTAACACTTCATCTTCATCCAAACAGTGTAAGCCCTGCTGGAACATTCAGTGAAACAAGGTCCAGAACTTGCCATGGAAAACAGAAATTATCCTTCTTTATCCAGCCAACTGAACAGGCAGGCAATATCATGTTAGAGGTGAAACTGGCACTGGATATTTTACCCCTGGAGTCAGAGTTGTCCGTCCTGGTCATGACTTCACCAGAAGAAGAATAACGTCCCCAATATACAATGTGTCCTGTATTAGCCCACAAGCCATTGGAAAACATTATGATTCTTTGTGGCCTAGTTGAGAATAACAGGTAGCTTGAGCAAATAAACTAGAATGCTCCAACCAGAATGCTGCATTTATTTTAAAGAGTTATAGAATTATTTTAAATCTACATAGGAATGTTTTAAATCTGCATAGTAAAAATTTCTAATTTACCTGAAAAAAATGATATTCCCTTAGCATCATTGCCCTAAACATTAAAGTAATACTTGCCTATTGTTTTAAAGATAAAATAACGTTAAGACTAATAAGGCATATAGTAGCATCTCACCACATCCCATTCTACTTCCCATTTGTACTCTGCTGAGAAAATCATATACAGCATCTAGCTATTGCTTCCAAATAACGTATTTATACTTCTAATATATTTTCTGTTTTTCAGTTTTTTATATTATGCAGGATTTTCTGTTGCTAATTCATTACCACCATTATCACACACATTTGGAGCCAAAACTAGGTTTCCTGAGTCCTGTTTCCTATGTGGTCCAGGTTAGAAGTTGTCATCACATAAAACTTGGAAAATGTAAATGTACCAGAATATGGTAAATGGGGGGAGGCAAGAGTGATTAGTTGTGTGTGCAGACATGAGCTTCATAGTGGCTTCCTGACATGCCTGTAGAAGGCACTCACTCCACTGCTTCAGAAGAGATTTTCACTGTCACCTTCTCCACCTTCCTGCAGCTGCTCGCCAACTTTTGGTAGCATCTTTACCAATGCTTGCTCTTTCCCACTCAACCCAGCTCTTCCAAAAGTACCACCATCTCCCAGTTCTATGTAAATATTTTTTGTTCAGAATTCAGAGCTTAGTTTGTTTCTTTGACCAAACCTAGACTGATACAGTTATTGATACTGGAATTAATTCCAAAAATAGAGAGTTTTGAATATAAAAATCTAAATTTTGTTCTGTGATATGACTAGATATAAAGATAATACTGTCCTCTGTCCAGTGGCATATTAGTTCGTTCTCACACTGCTAATAAAGACATACTCAAGACTGGGTAATTTATAAAGGGAAGAGGTTTAATCGACTCACAGTTTCATATGACTTGGGAGGCCTCAGGAAACTTATAATTATAGCAGAAGGGGAAGCAAACACTTCCTTCTTCACATAGTGGCAAGAGAGAGAAGTGCAAAGTGAAGTGGGGAAAGCTCCTTATAAAACCATCAGATCTTGTGAGAACTCACTCATTATCCTGAGAACAGCATGGGAGAACTGCCCTCATGATCTTATCACCTCCCATGAGGTCGCTCCCTCAACACATGGGGATAACAATTCAAGATGAGATTTGGTTGGGACACAGAGCCAGGCCACATCAAGTGGCAAATGGGAAATTCTATGGTCTTCAGGGGCTACTTACCAGTAGTCACCTGGAATAAAATGCCTAATTGAAGATACATCTTTGAAAAATCATATAGCCAACTCAATAGAATACTATAGTGGAAATAAGGAGTGTAAATACTATAAGGTTGGTTTATTACTTCTGAGTAAGCCAGTAAATGTGGAGTAAAAAAAAATGATATCAGGACCACAAATTTCCAGGTCAACTTTCAGGTAAAAAAACAAAAAACATGGAACTTTTCTGTGACTATCCTAAATAAATTATTTATCTTCTCTAATGATAGGGTCAACGTTTCTGAAAACCAAGCTCAAAGTGTGATGCTACAGGTGAACAAATTAAATTCAAAATCTTGTGAAGCCCCTTATGATGAGGTTAAAGTTTTGATTAGGAAGGAGTAAAATTCTGAAAATTGGTATGGGGTATATGGGCAGATTCTGATGAAAATAAAAACTGTGAACACTCAAATCCACCATGCCATTTTTTAAATAGAAGTGGTACTTTCTCTCTTATTTGAGAGCATTCGCCTCTGCTTGTCTTAATGACTTGTATTAAACTCTTCTGAGGTAACTGAGTTATAAAGGGAATAATGATCCTTCTCAAGACCCACTCTTATCACCTCTCATAGCTTCTAGACTTATAACAGACTCAAATCTCAGCAAGTCCCAGAAGGATAAGAACAATGCATAAGCTAGCTGAAGCCCCATATGCATGAGAATAATTTTAAAATTTTGCCAATGTATGCTAGTACAAACCTGAATAATATATATGGGAATGAATTCTAGAGATAATAGACTATGGCAGAAAATGTTAGGATATTGGATTGGGTTGAATTTATTGATGTAGTACACACTCCAAATATTCTGGATTCTGTGCCATAGCTTGAGTGGCAGAGAGTAGCTCTCATAATTTTCTTGAAGACAACAGTGGCCTATGCCAAATAAAGTTGGAATGCAAGAAATCCCTTGGTATGCTCAGTCTAGAGGAAAGCATGTAATACTTTAGGACGGAATCTAAAGGATTAGAGAGATACAACATGTAGTAATATTATGTACCTACTCAGTCGTACTTTACCCAGGTACCCTAGAACATTCAGGATATTACCCTTACCAGAGTTTCAAAAAACACATTTTTGATGGAAGCATCAGAATCCATGAAAACTCTTCTAGTGGATGATATCTTTAAGCCAGGAATAAGAATGGGAGTTGCTACTATAAAAATGGGGTTTTTGAATCCCGTGAGGTTGATGGCATTTCAGAATGATGGTGTCTACGTGGTATAATTTAACACATAGAGACAAGGTGGACATGGACAAAATTACTGTAATGGATAGCACAGCTAAAGCAATAATGGTTTGTCTCATGAGATTATTGGTTTTGTCCCCAGGACTGAAATATATGAACACTCTTTCAAAGTTTTACTTAACTTCTGCAAGTGAGGAAATTTAAGTTTTGTGAAGAGAAATCTGACTTGAATCATCACAAGAGGATCAAGACTCCCCAGTAAACTTCAAGACTTGATGCAGTTCACTGATTTAGAGCCAGTTGAATGGAAGGCTGAATTCTTTTAAAGAAATCTGATACAATGCCAACATTTTGCACTGTATATTTTCTTCTTAGTTTTCTCCAATGAGACCTTACGTGGGATCACTTACCAAAGCAGTAAATTGAAGAAAGGAAAATACTCGGATGTTGGGGGGATTACTAGACACCGTCTTTTAATTGACAATAATTCCTAGGAACTCAAACATGATTAAGGTTTACCAGACAGAGTAGGGGTTTACAAAAACCAGGTGATTAATGGGATTTGCCTTTGATCCATCTAACGATGGGTCTCTTGAGTTCCTAATCCACTGTGTGGTTATTTTAATAGTCTTGGAAATTACAGTTGGAAGAGACATAACCAGCAACTGGCAGAATCCCCATGTTGTTCTCCTGACCCATAAAGTGAGGACTATTGTAGTAGGAAAAGCCAAGAGGAAGCCTCTAGAATTGCCACTGTGTGCCAAAATAGTAAATCAGAATCAATACTGCCTTCCTGGGAGAATTGCAGAGATACCAGACACATCCTCATTCAATTACCCTATTCAGCCTATGTGGAAGAGAGACAGCTCTCAAAGAGTGACAATGGATTACTATAAATTTAATCAAGTGGCAACTTCAATTGTAGATCATGTTCTGTATGAGGTTCTTTGCTGGAAATAATACAGTCCCTCTGACCAGGCATGCAGCGAATAGTCTAATGAGTGTTTTTTCCTCTATAACTACTAGACAAACACAGAAATACTTATTCACTCTCCTACTTCAGGGATATATGAAATGTACAGTCCTGTGTCATAATCTAGTCCAGAGACACTCTTATCATCCTGCATTCCACAAGATACTATGCTAGTCCATCATACTGGTGATAGCATGCTGATTGAATGTGGTGAAAAGGAAGTAGAAATATTCTGGCAAAATACATGCATACCAGAGAGTAGGAAATAAATCCAACAAAATTTCAGCAATCTGCTACTTCAGTGAAATTCCAGGAACTTGAGAGTTCTGAAGCACGTTGAGATCTATTCTCCAAAATTAAGGGCTAAATCTTGTATCTGATATCTTCTACCACTAAGAAAGGCATATAATAGCTAGCAACCTATCTGAATACTGGAGGCAAGATATACTCACATAAATCGTGTATGAAACAAATAATTTACAAAGACCTCTGTTAGGCTTCCAGTTTAGAATGTTTGAGTGGGGCGCAGAGTAAAATACATCTCTGTAATGTGTACAGTGTACTGTGCAAGCTGCTCATTCACTTACACCATATGACCTAGCAGATGGAATAGTACTTGCAGTACATGTAGCAGGCAGGGATGCTACCCCATTCTCTTTGACCAGTTGGGTAAATGCCTTTTGATTCCTTCACTCTCTTTTCACTGAACTTTTCAGAGGGGAAAAGAAAAGTATGTCTTCAATCTGCCCTGTTTAAGCATAACACCCTATCATTTTACAGGAGAATTGATCTTATGGGAATTCAGGACTGAGATAAGTACCAAAATGTACTTCTTTATATTTACTTCTACAATTTCTATAACTCTCTAAAATCTAATTCATAGTCAATTATTGAATTAACCAGTGCCAGTTCTATGACCTACACTGCACGTGTGATAAGTACAATAGTTACACCTTTTCTAAATGGACTCTGCTAGTACACCCCTAATTTGGAGGACTTGAAAACTAGAAATTTGACTTCAGAAGACCTGAATATGAGGTCTGGTGTTTCCTTACTATAGGACTCTGGACAAAATCATTTCAACTCTCTGTGAACCTCAGGTTTATCTTATTTAAAGAGCAGGTGATAGTACTTGTTTTACAAAGCCAATATGATAATTAATATAAGATAATGCATATGAAACTTTCTGTAAGACCAGTCACTCAACAAGTAGAATTATAAATAGGAAATGGCCAACATCACCTGGTAATGCAAGTAAAAGTTATCTTTATTGGCTTAGCTACACCTCCCGGGAACCATCTAATAAAGAATTGTCATTGTCATGTGCAAAGCCCTGTGTAAGTAAAATTAATCTTTTGGATGGGAACATCAGCAGAAACAAGAGATCCACCAATTATCCCCTGGTGATGCAGAACATGGAACATAACAAAGGGTTTAACTCTTCTTGGCTTACAATTAACCTTACAGTTAAGAATGGTGTATAAGAAAAAGAGAGATTATTAGAAACCAAAATGAATAGGTCAGTAGGCTGTCAGCAAAAAGAAATCTTAATATTGAAAAATAAAGTATTACATATCTACAAAAAATTATCTCAGTTCTGATACTATACATAGGGAGACAGAAAATCACTGCCAACTTTGATATTACAGAAGAAGTTGTGAAAAAAAGCTTGTCAATATATTTTTAGAAAATTTAAATTTTTTAAGTTTGAAAAATGAAATAGGACTAGTCCATTAAAATATATTGTTAGAAAAAAACAGCTGCTGACAATTTGATAAATTATTCATCCAAGAGTCTCACTAATGTAAAACAACTTCTCCCACATATGTTGACAGAGGAAGAACTATCTACCAAAAACGATGAAACAGAATAATTTTAGGACACTTCTGAAATGATTAGAAAATCCATTTGTCTTCTAAGTCTCTGCTCTTAATTTTAAACTAAAATTATTGGTCATTTATGCCAAAAATTTGATGCAACGTTTAAAAAATACTTATGGTACACAAAATGCTATTTTGGCAACATAGCAGAATTCAACATAGTCTTTTGTAATAGAAACGGAAAATTTGGGAAAAGAAAACAGCAGAATGTGACTATGATATTGCCTTAACTAACATTTTGGTTGAAAGAAAAAGAGAGACTTGATGGACACAGAGATGCACAACCCAGATCTGCTACAGGGAAGGACCCCTTGTCAGCACCTTCAGGGATTTCTTTGTAGCAGAAAGCAACTGGGCCCAGACCACACCCTGTCCATGATGACCCACATTGAATGATTGACTAATGGAAGAGGGATATGATGGCGTTGCCATTTCAATGCAATATGGGCAACTCCTACTGGTCATTTTGGCTTCAGAGCTTTGTGCATGGTTAGCTGGGGTCATCATAGGGAATTTCACACAGCTCAACAATTTCTGGGCCCAATCCCACTTCCTCCCTGGTACGATTTGTATCTATGTCCCCACACAAACCTCATGTCCAGTTGTAATCCCCAGTGTTGGAGGAGGGACCTGGTAAGAGGTGATTGGATCACGGGAGCAGACTTCCCCCTTGCTGTTCTCATGATAGTGAGTGAGTTCTCACTAAATCTGGTTGTTTCTAAGTGTGCAGCACCTCCCACTTCCCTCTCTTTCTTCCTGCTCTGGCCACATACTACATGCCTGCTTCCTCTTCGCCTTCCGCCATGATTAAAAGTTTTCTAAGGCCTCCCCAGCCATGCTACCTGTACAGCCTGTGGAACCATGAGCCAATTAAACCTCTTTTCTTTATAAATTACCCAGTCTCAGGTATTTCTTTATAGCAGTGCAAGAATGCACGAATACACTCCCCTTATTTTTCAAGGGCACTCTAATAAACATTCTGCAAACTAAACTTCATCTCATAGTCCACTTCGCAAACAATTTGCAATAAAGAGCAAATAGCAGAAGTTAAGTATCAACTATTTCACCATTTCCTCATTCATTTATCAATTCAACAAGCACTAATTTAGTGCCAATTGTAAAGTAAATTAAATTGTGAGAATTTGCAGGAAAGAAAAAGCATTTATACATCAAAGAACTTTATAATCTATTGAAGATTATAAATTGCAATGAAACTGTAAATTGCAGTAAAAGAGGATAAGTCCTAGAAAGTAGATATGAAAAGCCCCCTACAGAATAACAGAGAAGGAATGAACTTCCTTGCCCAGGAAATCAAGCAAAGAAAGAGAAAAAAAAAAAAAACCCTGGATTTGTGTTGACTCTGGTTAGATAAGCAGGCATTTTGGGTTGAACTTAGGAAATGGTGCCCACCCTTATTTAGATTCCAAGACAACACTAGGGCATTTGTTAAAGAAGGTATACCCTGTTCCAATGCATTTGAATAATGCACTGTATAAATAGTCTCCCTTATTCACCAGTGACAGAACTATCATTTTGATATCAATAGAAGTTCCAATAGGTTTTGAGTTGATGAGGGTGGCAATCATGGTTAAATAAACTATCATTATTTAGAACTAGACATTTATGCCTTTGCCAAAAAGGAACTGATTTTGGCTCCTGAAGTCTTTATGAAGTCCTTTTGTGGCCAGTATATAGGGGCATAATTTTGCCTTTTTGTGTTTTAATTGGCTTGTTTTTCTTGTGTTTTTATTAGAAAACTACAGGGCAAGCAGGTAATCTTTTGAAATTTATTTAAGGACACCTAGCATGCAAAAACTGACTACCAAATCGGTTTGTGAAAAAGGAGCCCACAGCATAGTGGAAAGTACAAAACCTACATTTCTAATTCTTGTTCCCAAGGAATATGATTAAAAAGATATGATGGTGCAAACCAGAAAGACCCTAACTAACATAAGAGAGCAAGGATGGAGACCCCTTTAGATGCAGACACCCAGACTTATTGCCTATGTTCTAGAAAACAGAGGCTGAACACCCAAGGTGAAGGTCAATATATGGATCCTGGCAATTAGGGGATGAAACCATTCTCACTGACAAACTGCAACAGGCTAGGAGGATAGCTGGAAAAGTGAACCATAATTGAAGCATGATCCAAGACCAGACCAGCTCCATCTGATGAAGATGGAAGAAGCAGTTTCCAACACCTGAGCCCAAAGTCAGGGCATCCCAGGAGTGGATGGACCATACGCTAGAGTGCTCTTCATTTGGGTGTGGAAGTCAGAATAGACTACCAGGCACCCAAACACCATGTTCCTCCTTGGAATGCAACCTGATGTGGAGGAGGATGTCCAGGTGGAAATATTGAACTTGCTGAGTAAATATAAAATTTAATCATAGCCCAAAAGTGGAAACAACCCAAAGCCCACCAACTTGTGAACAGATGAATGAAATATACTATATCTAAGCAATGAAATACTATTGGGAATAAAAAATAACAAACTACTACAGCACAGATAATTCTCAAAATTGTGAAAAGAAAGAAGCCTAACACAAAAGACCACATAGTGCCTAATCCATTTATATGAAATATCCACAAAAAAAAGTAGATTAGTGGTCACCAAAGCTGGCAGTGGAAACTGGGCTTGACTGCAAATGGGATGTAGAATCCTAAGAGGATGATGACAATGTTATAAAATTGTAGTTATGGTTGCACAACTCTGTAAATTTACTAAAATTTATTAAATAATTGTACACTTTTAAATGGTTGAATATTATGATATATAAATTATACCTCAAGAAAACTGTTAAAAATAAAAGACATTTGACATTTTTTCTTTAATTCCATGCACTAGATTACAAATGATTTCTGTAACTTCATTAGTCCTCAAAACCGCAAGAGGAAAAACTTATTTCTTCTAAAGAATGATCTGACATAGCCATGGCCTAGGATATTTGAGAAGAAAAATAGCATGAATTATAAGTTAAATGTAAAAAGAACTTTAACCTCAAAATTGGGCATGTAATTTACAGACAGCTAATTCTCAATTAGCAGAAAATATATTCTTTACATGGTCCTAACCGTAAAAATCGTCATGCTGTCTTCCCAGATTAGTTCTTGGACAGATACTATTATTTGTCCATTAATCTCTGCTGCCATTTCTTTTAGCATCTCATTTAAGACCTACCAGTACAAAGAATCTGTCCTCCCATGAGGAGTTTTTAAAAGAAAATATTAAACCTGAAGTATTAATTTGTCCCAGTAATAATTATTCAGGACTGCTTGCGTTCCCAAAGTTATAAATCCAATAATAGCTGAAAAAGAGAATATTCTTATATATTTAGTTATCAGATACTTTGTTACTAG
The DNA here is from genome assembly GCF_000001405.40 of Homo sapiens. Classification (NCBI taxonomy): domain Eukaryota; kingdom Metazoa; phylum Chordata; class Mammalia; order Primates; family Hominidae; genus Homo; species Homo sapiens. Next base: position 228,922,446 of record NC_000002.12, read on the forward strand.
ACTCAGAAATATCTTAACAAGACTGAGGATACATTTTATCGCTTCAGAAAAGAAGGATTTATACCAGTGGTCCTCACCTTTTTGGCACCAGGAAGCAGTTTCATGGAAGACAGTTTTTCCATGGATCAGGCCGGGGGTTGGGGAGAATAGTTTCAGGATGATTCAAGTGCATTACACTTATCATTAGATTCTCAAAAGGAGTTTGCAACCCTATGCAAGATCCCTCACATGCACAGTTCACAATTGGGTTTGAGCTTCTATGAGAATCTAATGTCACTGCTGATCTGACAGAAAGTAGAGCTCAGGCAGTAATGCTCACTCGCCCACAGTGGCTCACCTCCTGCTGTGAGGCCCGGTTCCTAACAGGCCACGGACCAGTACCATGGTTTATATTACCTATAATGCTGTTTTGTCTGATACATTCTCTCTCTTTCTCTCTCTTCCTCTCTCATAAATATTTGACATATTAGCATTGCTCTATTAATTAGCTCAAAAATATTTACTGGACTGCTACTACAAATGAGTGCTGGCATTTAATGCTGAAGACTTAACATGACATTATCTCCAACTTCAAGAAGCGTTCAGTTTAATGATTTTTAACCCAATTTTTTTTATGATCATGCATATGTAATAGATCAATTTAAAATGCATTTTCATTGGAAAGTGATATGGTTCAGCTATGTCTCCATCCAAATCTCATCTTGAATGGTAGTTCCCACAATCCCCATGTGTCCTGGGAGAGATCTGGTGGGAGGTAATTGAATCATGGGTGCGGTTACTTTCATGCTGTTCTCAAGATAGTGAGTGAGTTCTCAGGAAATCTGATGGTTTTATAAGGGGCTTTTCCCCATTTGCTCAGCACTTCTCTCTCCTGCCACCTTGTGAAGAAGGACGTGTTTGCTTCCCCTTCTGCCATGATTGGAAGTTTCCTGAAGCCTTCCCAGCCATGCAGAGCTGTGAATCAATTAAACTTCTTTCCTTTATAAATTACACAGTCTTGGTTATTTCTTCATAGCAGCATGAGAAGGGACTAATACCGAAAGTGAAAGATAACTTTTTGTGTTAAAAGATTTTTTGAAAAATTTTAAGTTTCATATATATGATTATTATTATTATTAATTATATGTATATGAATATATATATAATTAATCTCCCTGGATATTTTTCTATGAAATTATTTAGCTTTTATTTTGTGTAGATCTCAGCATTAAATATATATCTAACATCATATCATATTCTTCATTTTGTGAGGGAATTGTAGAACTCTTATTTTGCACAAAGCATTAGGATTTAGCTGTATTTTGAAGGTGAAAAAACTGCGGCTGTAAGAGTTAGAGTCTAATTTCCTGCGCTTATCTATTGACTGACTTGCTCTCTTCGCTATTACGTACATTTTTCTCAGCTCTCCTCACTCTCAGTCGATGACATGGAAAATTTAAGCAAGGTTTTAAGGAACCAGGAAAGAATGTCAACAAATTCCTCTACCACATCTGCATGCTTTCCAGCATCTGTCCTCACAAACTCACCATCCTTTCTATGATCAGAGATGCACTATCCATGCTCCAACCTAAAGAAAATCTCTTAATGTGTGCACTTGATTCCACCTCTTCTTGCCATCCCAAGGGCATTGTTTCAGAAATTGTTCAGTCAGTTTCCTACACAATCCATATTTCCCTCTCTACTGCATCATTCCCATCAATACACAAACCTGCTTCCATTCTCCCATTGTTTAAAAGGAAATCTCATCTTGACTTCTAAATATTGCCTAATTTCTCTGCTTCCTACTACAGCAAAATGCTATGTATATTGAATGCTATGTATGCCATCCCCAAAATGCTCTGTATACTGAAGTCTTTAATTTCTCTACTCCATTTCCTTCTTAAAATCCCAAAAGGCCTTTTGTTCCCACCACTTCACCAAATGATCAAGTCACCAATGACTATATATAGTGAAATACATTAATTAATTCTTGATTCACAATTTACTAGTTTTTTTTTTTAACATTGTATACAACTGATAAACAGTTCTTCTTTAAAGCGCTTTATTCACTGGGCTATCAAGGATTCTTTTAGCTTTCCTCCAACCTCACTGATTGTTCCTTCTATGTCTCCTTTGCTCCTATTCTGCTTGATGCCTCAAGGGAGTATTCCAGGACTTGAAGCACTGTCTACATTCACTCTTTGGGTCACTCTTGGTGATTCTGCTTTTTGTTGTTGTTGTTCCAGCCTAAATGCAGGAGTACAGAGGCATGATCATAGCTGAGGGCAACCTTGAACTCTTGGGCTCAAGCAATACTTCCTCCTCAGCCTCCCAAGTAGTTAGGACTACAGGCCCTTGCCGCCATACCTGGCTAATATATTAAATATGTTGTAGAGACAGGGCCCTGCTGTGTTGCCCAGGCTGGTCTCAAACTCCTAGCCTCAGGCAATCCACTTGCCTTGGCATCCCAAAGTGCTGACATTACAGCCATGAGACTGTAATGACACCTGGTCCACATTCTGTTTGGTGAAGCTGGGACAGGAACTCTGCAAATCACACTTCTCTTTTGTCTGCTGGTCCCATTTATGTTCTGCCATTTGGAGGTGCGACAGGTAAATCAAAAGATTGGGAGAGGGAGAAGAAACTTGAACCACAATGGCCCATCACACTGGAAGACACAGCTAATTCCAGTAGTGGCAGTTTTTCACTTTCCTTGGGGAGATTGTAGGGTCCTCGCACCCTACATTACCACAATCAGTCTCCTTATGCCCTCTCAGAAACACCAGGCACATGGTGTCACCTCCTCAGAGGTCTGAACCCTAGCCCCATGGACCTCTCTTCCAAGCCTTTAAATTTGATTAATCCCAAACTCTGTTTTGCTTCCCCAGCCAAGGTGTGAAGTTATTACATATGTGATTCCTTATTAGTGCTTTGTTGTCTTCTTGTTGCTCTAATACCTAACGTCTATTTTAATTGCATCCCCCAGTTAAAATAATGGTATGGTTTCTGCTTCCTGGTTGGACAGTGACCATCACAGTGATCTGCTCTTACAATACAGTTTGAAATATCACCTTACGCTGATGATTCCCAGATCTTTCTTCTAAACTTCAGACTTGTATTAGGTTGAATGATGCTAACTTGATAATTTTATAGTTATATGCAATTAAATATCAGCAACTTCACGTGTTTTAACACCAATATAAAACTAATAGACATCTCATGTCCAAAACAAAACCCTCCATCAACTTTTCTGACTCTCACATCTCAGTTTTATGGCATCATCACACCTTCCAGTTGCTCAGGCAAAAATTATGGAGTTGTCCCTAACTCTTCTCTGCCTACACCCCACATTCAAACTATAAGCAAATACTGTTGGCTCTACTTTCAAAACATATGCAAAATTTGGTCATTTATCACTACTCCCAACACCAACCTGAACTGAATATCAACTCTCATCTGGTTTATTGTGATACATCCTAACTAGTCTTCCTACCTCCCCTTACAGTTATTCTCATCAAAACACCCAGAATAGTCCCTTTAAGTCATAAATCAGATGATGTCACTCTTCCACTAAAAATCCTACAGTGGTTTCCCACTTTAGCTAGGATAAAATCTCCACCAACGGTGGTCTCCTTGGTATGATTTGAACATTCCAGGCAAACTCCTGCCTTATAGTCATTATGCTGAGATTAACAGAATGTTCTTCCCTGAGATATCTGCTGGAATATCCTTCACACTTATTTCAAGACTTTGTGAAATACTACTGTTATGGACTGAACTGTTGCCCCTGCAAATTCATATGTTGAAGTCCTAATCCCCAGCACCTCAGAATGTGAAATATGAGTCTTTACAGAGGTAATTAAGTTAAAGGTAGGTCATTGTTGTAGGTCCCAATTCAAAGTGGCTGGTGTCCTTATAAAACGGGGGAATTTCGAGACAGGCATGCACATAGGGACAAGACCATGAAGGTAAAGATGGCCATGTACAGGCCAAGGAAAGGGGCCTGAAACAGATCCTTCCCTCATAGTCCTCAGAAGGAACCAAGCCTGCCAACACTTTGATTTAGGACTTCTGGCCTCCAGAACTCTGAGAGAATACATTTTTGTTGATTAAGCATCCAGTCTGTGGTACTTTGTTACACCAGCCCTGGCAAACTAATACACCCCCTCACAAGAGTAGATGTACCTTAGGCACTAGATAAAGCCCATACTCAATCTGGCCTTTGGGAGCTGGGGACATTCAGAAAAAAAATTCTGTGAAGACACAGGGGGAAATGCCCATCTACATACCAAGTTGAGAGGCTTCAGAAGAAACTAATCTTACCTACACCTTAACTTTGGACTTCTCAATTCCAGAATTGTGAGAAAATACATTTCTGTTTAAGCCATCCATTGTCTGCGATATTTGTAATGGCAGCTCTAGAAGACTAATACCTTCACCTTCTCAATGAGGCAACCCTAACCATTCTAATTAAAATTGCAATCAACCAAACCTTGGTACCCCATGCCCATCTACCTTGCCTGTTTTTGTATTTCTCTTTGCAGAGAATACCTTCAAACTGATCATATAGTTATTTTACTCAGAGAATGCTAGATTGCAGTATAAATAAAGCCAATGCTAGATTGCAGTATAAATAAAGCCACTTAAGAACCAAACACAATACAATTTTATTTGTCACAGGTGAAACAGTCATTGCTGTGTTTCTGGTCAGAGGGCAGCTTTTCTTTACATAGTGATTCAGTGCATGGCCCCTTCCATTCTGTGGCTCCATCATTTCCTGGGACCTTGGGATGCATGAAGTCAGAAGACAAATGAAGGTGAACATGCAGGGTCATGTCAGCCTTGGCCAGAAAATGGCACTCTCTGCTTCCAGTCGCACTGGCAAGAATGTAGTCATAGAGCACATCTAACTGCAAGATGACCTGGGAAATATAGTCTAGCTATGTGCCCAGGAAATGTAAAAATAGAATAGATAAACATCTCTTCCATGATAGCTTCCTGATTTCTCATGTTTATTGTTTAGCCATTGTCTCCCTCACTAAAATGCAATCTCCACGAGAGCAAGAGACTTTGCAGGCTTTGTTTATTGATGTATTCCATGAAACTGGACTAGTGCCAGGTACAGAGTAGTCACTCAAAAATATTTAACTAATAAATTAATGAATACCACATGTTGTATGGGAAAGAAAAGGAGGAAGGATTATCCACACATTTGGAGAATTTGCTTTCTTTGGGGGAGCATAAAACATTCTTACAAATATACAGTTAAAAGGTAAAAAACATAAGTTGAATAGTGGGTAGAGGACACACAGTGTACATAAGCAATAAGACAACTCATTGCCAAGGGTGGAACCAGCTTTGGTTTAGATAAGAATTTGGGGTATTGGATTTAAATTAGCTGAAAAATATGAATGTCATTGTGTGGTTCATAATTGCTTAGAGGAAATTCAGAGCTCTTAGGAGGTATTTCGTAAGTTCTTAAAATAATGAACTATTTTTATAAAAATTTACTAAAACCCATCTTCTTTTAGCAATTGTTTTGCAAGGAACAGTGTGAAATGGTTTAAACATATTACATCATTTAATCTTCAAACAATCCTAACAAGTTGGTATGTTTATTTTTTTACCGAGGAATTTGAGGAAAATAGGACTTTTAATTTAACATATTTTATAATTTTCTCCATGAGGATTTCTAAAGAATTTATTGCTAGCTAATTCACTGTTTTTGCTGCTATTATAAATTATATTTTTTGTGCTTTAAGCTTTAGGTACATTTTTAACTTGACTACATAACTAAAGAATATATAGATATATACATACACATATAATTTTGTAACCAGAAACACTTTAAGCCAGTTCATATATTAATTTGACAATATATTCTCTAATACATTTTATGCAGATGATCATAATATCTGCAACAAAGTTTTTCTCTTTCTAGCGAATCCTTACATTTTATTGCAGGTTCTCTCTATTCCATTTCAGATATCTGAGGAGGAATGACAGCTATTAAAATGTTGAATACAGGTGAAAATAGCTGGCATCTTTAATCACTTATGGATGTAAATAAATACTTTTTAAAGTTTTGGAAGATAGTCTTTAATATGTTAATTTATTTCACTTTCTTATTTTTTAAACTGGTTTTTACTCTGTAATTAATGTTGAATTTCATCCATTGTTATTTCTATAACTATGAAAATGATTTCATATTTTCCTCTTTGTATGTCAACACTGCCGGCTGTATCCAAGATATTATTTTAGGTCTACCTTACTAAGAGAACATTGATTGTGTTCAAGTATAGATTGGTCATGTAGTTCATAAGCTGGACTCCTCCTCAATTTCAAGGGTGAATTTTGATTAGTCTGAATTAACTATGGTAATTCTATTATCTATCTCAGTGATTGGTTTAAATATAAATGAATGACATGATCTGGCCAATGAGACATAAAATGTATTCTTGCTTGGGGATTCCAGAAAGAGAACATGGAAAGAACTAATCTACACAGCTGTCCAGGGAACCATCACACACTAAATATTGCAAAGAGTAAAAATAAATGGAACCTAAGTCCCTGGTAACACAGTTGTTCTCCTAAGTTAGCCCTAAACTCATCCAACATCTTGGCTTCTTGTTTTGTAAAATAATACCTGCTATTTTTGTTATCCTCCATCTTACTTGAAGTCAAAAGCATCCTAACATGCAGTGAATTGCCCATGTAGGTTTTCCAATGCCAAACCATTCTTGCATCACAAAACACACCTTACCTAATCCTGATGTTATTTATTTTATGTCACCCAGGATTTGGGGTAGCTGGATTTTATTTAAACATGTGTATCTACATTCAGTTGTGAGATTGCTCTATAATTTCCCTTTTTTATATTGTCAATGTACAAAGTAATAAAAGCAGCATAAGATGGGATGGGAAAATCTCTTTATTCTTTTGAAGAGCTTGTATCCAGTTTGAATTATTTATTCCTCGAACATCTGCTGTAACTTGGCTAACAATCTGAACCTAGTAGGTATTTTTTTGGTTTAGTTGTATTAGTTATGTGTGTGCGCATTTTGTGGGAGGAGGGATAGGTGATTTATTAACAACTAATCTGATTTCTTAAGGGTCATAGAGTATTAGATTTTCTGTGTTCTTTTGAATCATTTGTGGTAGCATATATAAATGCATATTTTTACAGAAAATTATCTGTTACTTCCAAATTCCAAATATGTTGACAGAGAATTCTTTAGTGTAAACACACAATATTAAAACATGGACACATTACATCTTGCCATCCCCTGTACATTCTTAATATTCTTCTTTCTCCTAGATCAATCTTTTCAGAAAATAGGGAGTTGACCCTGTCCTCTCTGTTGTTCTTTTGTTTCTAATTAATTAATTTTCACTTTTTTTATTCTATAGTTTTATATTGTTATTTTTTGACTTGGATTTTTAGATTATTAACCTTTAATCTTCTTTCCAAATACATAGATTAAAAACAATACATCTCTGCTTGTGTAGCACTTAGACTGTATGACACTTAATTTTCTTTGTGCTGTATACATTTTTATTCATTTTTACTTACTCTTCAATTTCTATTAAAATATCTACTTATGTCAATGAATTATTCAAAAATTTGGCTTGTTGTTGGTGTTGTCATTAATATTGGAATGAATCAGCAAATTACACTGAGGATTTGGATCAGGATTTCTAATCACCAGACTACACATTCTCTCTAAAACATCCTGGCTTTACCATATCTCTTCATCTATGGAATATTGGCTTTCCATTCATTTCTTTGAAAGAAAACTTACAAATATTTTTTGATATAACTTATCCATAATTTCTATATGTATGTTGCAAGAGATAGGATTATGTTAAGTCAATCACTGTGTGGCAGAAACTAGAATTTTCTTCCAAATAATACTTTATATATTTTTTCTATGACTAGCAATGTGCTTATCCAGATGGTCAAAAATTGTTGCATTCTTTGATGCTATTGTCTAGAAATGAATTGCATAGACCCAGTGGAAATCTAGTAGAAAACCAAAGGACAGTTTTTCTTTTTTTTTTTTTAATTATACTTTAAGTTCTGGGATACATGTGCAGAACGTGCAGGTTTGTTACACAGGTGTACATACACATGCCATGGTGGTTTGCTGTGCCCATCAACCCATCATTCTACATGAGGTATTTCTCCTAATGCTATCCCTCCCATAGCCCCCCATTCCATGATGTTCCCTTCCCTGTGTCCATGTGTTCTCATTGTTCAGCTCCCACTTATGAGTGAGAATATGTGGTGTTTGGTTTTCTGTTCCTGTGTTACTTTGCTGAGAATGATGGTTTCCAGCTTCAACCATGTCCCTGCAAAAGACATGAACTCATCATTTTTTATGGCTGCATAGTATTCCATGGTATATATGTGCCACAGTTTATTTATCCAGTCTATCATTGATGGACATTTGGGTTGGTTCCAAGTCTTTGCTTTTGTGAACAGTGCTGCAATAAACATACGTGTGCATGTGTCTTTATAGTAGAATGATTTATAATCCTTTGGGTATGTACCCAGTAATGGTATTGCTGGGTCAGATGGTATTTCTGGTTCTAGATTCTTGAGGAATCGCCACACTGTCTTCCACAATGGTTGAACTAATTTACACTCCCACGAACAGTGAAAAAGTGTTCCTATATCTCCACATCCTCACCAGCATCTGTTGTTTCCTGACTTTTTAATGATTGCCATTCTAACGGGTGTGAGATGGTATCTCATTGTGGTTTTGATTTGCATTTCTCTAGTGACCAGTGATGATGAGCATTTTTTCATAGGTTTATTGGCTGCATAAATGTATTCTTATGAAAAGGGTCTGTTCATATCCTTCAAATACTTTTTTGTGGGATTGTTTGTTTTTTTCTTGTAAATTTGTTTAAGTTATACATAGATTCTGGATATTAGCCCTTTTTCAGATGGATAGATTGCAAAAATGTTCTCCCATTCTGTAGGTTGCCTGTTCACTCTGAAGATAGTTTCATTTGCTGTGCAGAAGCTCTTTGGTTGAATTAGATTCCATTTGTCAATTTTGGCTTTTGTTCCTATAGCTTTTGGTGTTTTAGTCATGAAGTCTTTGCTCATGCCTATGTCCTGAATGGTATTGCCTAGGTTTTCTTCTAAAGTTTTTATGGTTTTAGGTTTTACATCTAAGTCTTTAATCCATCTTGAGTTAATTTTTGTATAAGGTGTGAGGGAAGGGTCCAGTTTCAGTTTTCTGCATATGGCTAGCCAATTTTCCTAACACCATTTATTAAATAGGGAATCCTTCCCCCATTGCTTGTTTTTGTCAGGTTTGTCAAAAATCAGATGGTTGTAGATGTGTGGTGTTATTTCTGAGGCCTCTGTTCTGTTCCATTGGTCTATATATCTGGTTTGGTCCCAGTACCGTGCTGTTTTAGTTACTGTAGCCTTGTAGTATAGTTTAAAGTCAGGTACTGTGATGCCTCCAGCTTTGTTCTTTCTGCTTAAAATTGTATTGGCTATATGAGCTATTTTTTGCTTCCATATGAAATTTAAAGTATTTTTTCTAATTCTTTGAAGAAAGTCAATGGTAGCTTGATGGGGATAATATTGAATCTATAAATTACTTTGAGCAGCATGACCATTTTTACAATATTGATTCTTCCTATCCATGAGCATGAAATGTTTTTCCATTTTTGGGGTTCCTCCCATATTTCCTTGAGAAGTAGTTTGTAGTTCTCCTTGAAGAGGTCCTTCACATCCCTTGTAGGTTATATTCCTAGGTATTTTATTCTCTTTGTAGCAATTGTGAATGAGAGTTCACTCACGATTTGGCTCTCTGTTTGTCTGTTATTGGTGTATAAGAATGCTTGTGATTTTTGCACATTGATTTTGTATCCTGAGACTTTGCTGAAGTTGCTTATCAGCTTAAGGAGATTTTGAGCTGAGACGATGGGGTTTTCTACATATACAATCATGTCATCTGCAAACAGGGACAATTTGACTTTCTCTCTTCCTATTTGAATACCCTTTATTTCTTTCTATTGCCTGATTGCCCTGGCCAGAACATCCAATACTATGTTGAATAGGAGTGGTGAGAGAGGGCATCATTGTCTTGTGCTGGTTTTCAAAGGGAATGCTTCCAGTTTTTGCCCATTCAGTATGATATTGGCTGTGGGTTTGTCATTAATAGCTCTTATTATTTTGAGATATGTTCTATGAATATCTAGTTTATTGAGAGTTTTTGGCATGAAGGAGTGATGAATTTTATTGAAGACCTTTTCTGCATCTATTGAGATAATCATGTGTTTTTTGTCATTGGTTCTGTTCATGTGATGAATTACATTTATTGATTTGTGTGTGCTGAACCAGCCTTGCATCCCAGTGATGAAGCTAACTTGATTGTGGTGGATAAGCTTTTTGATGTGCTGCTCGATTCGGTTTGCCAGTAGTTTATCAAGGATTTTCTCATCAATGTTCATCAGGGATATTGGCCTGAAATTTTCTTTTTTTGTTGTGTCTTTGCCAGGTTTTGGTATCAGGGTGATGCTGGCATCATAAAAACAGTTAGGGAGGAGTCCTTCTTTTCCTATTGTTTGGAATAGTTTCAGAAGGAATGGTACCAGCCCCTTTGTACCTCTGGTGGAATTCAGCTGTGGATCCATCTGGTCCTTGGCTTTTTTTGGTTGGTAGGCTATTAATCACTGCCTCAATTTCAGAACTTGTTATTGGTCTATTCAGGGATTCAACTTCTTCCTGGTTTAATCTTGGGAGGGTGTATGTGTCTAGGAATTCATCCATTTCTTCTAGATTTTCTAGTTTATTTGTGTAGATGTGCTTATAGTATTCTCTGATGGTAGTTTGTATTTCTGTGGGATCAGTGGTGATATCCCCTTTATCATTTTTTATTGTGTCTGTTTGATTCTTCTCTATTTTCTTCTTTATTAGTCTATTTTGTTGATTTTTCAAAAAACCAGTTCCTGCATTCATTGATTTTGTGAAAGGTTTTTTGAAGATTTATGAACTTCCTGAGAAAGAATTCAAAATAACTCCCTTAAGGAAGTTAAGTAGGCTACAAAAGAAGACAGTAAATCTCTAAGAAAATAACAGAAAAACAAAACATGAACAAAATAAGAAGCTCAACAAAGAAGTATAAAATACAAAAAAGAACCAAATAGAAATTCTAGAGCTGAAGAATACAATAACTGAGTTGATCAATTCAAAAGAAAGCTTCAACATCAGGCTCAATCAAGCAGAAAAAAAATCAGTAAACTTGAAGACAAGTCATTTGAATTTATCCAGTCATAGGAACAAAAAGAAAACAGAATAATATAGAGTGAAAAAAGTCCATGAGACACCATCAAATAAACCAATATACATATTATGAAAGTCTCAGAAGGATAAGAAAAAGAGAAAGGGTAGAAAGCATATTTAAAGAAATAGTGGATGAAAACTTCTCAAATCTAACAAAAAAATGGACATCCAGAATTATGAAGCCCAAAGAACCCAAATAGGTTGAACTAAAAGCAGTCTACAGTAAGACACATTATAATAAAATTATCAAAAGTCAAAGACAAAGAATTTTGAAAGCAGCGAAAGATAAACAATTTGTTACATGCATAGGAAGCCTCATGAGAATATCAGCAGATTTCTCAGCAGAAATCATACTGTCCAGGAAAGAGTGAGACACTAAATTCAAAGTGCTAAAGGAGAAAACTGCCAACCAAGAATACTATCCCTGTACTTCAAACATGAAGGTTAAAGATATTCCCAGACAAACAAAAACTGAGAGAGTTAATCATCATTAGACCTGCTTTAGAAGTCCTAAAGGGAGCTATTCAAGTTGAAACTAAAGACTGCTAAACAGAAACACAAAAGCATATGAAACTACATCTGCACTCCTATATTCATTGCAGTATTATTCATAATAGCCAAGATATGGAAGCAACCTAAATGACTGTCAATGAATGAAGAAAATGTGGTATATACATGTCATATATACTATTATTAATAGTAAATATTATGTTAATGTTACAATTATATAACACATAATTATATCTTCTAAACATAGCACATATATAGGATATATTACAATATATAATTGTATGTTATGTATATAATATATAAATAATATCATATATTAATATATGATATTATTCAGACTTTAAAAAAAATTCCTGCCATTTGTGACAACATGGATAAAGTGAAGTATATTATGCTACATCAAATAAGCCAGACACAGAAGAACAAATACTTTATAAAATATTATTTATATGATGAATCTAAAATAGTCAAAATCATAGAAGCAGAGAGTGGAATGGAGGTTTTCAGGGGCTGGAGCGAGGAGATGGAAATGGGGAAGTATTAGTCAAAGCACACAAAGTTTCAGTTATACAAGATGAATACATTCCAGGAATTTACTGTACATCATAGAAACTATAGTTAACAATACTGTGTTGTACACTTAAAATTTTGCTAAGAGAGTGGATCCTATGTTAAGTGACATTATTACAAAAATATAACAAATAACTAGGGCAGGAGGAACCTTTTGGAGCTGGTGGATAGATTTATGGCATGGATTATGGTGATAGTTTCATAGGTGTATACTTACCTTCAAACTCATCATGTTGTATACTTATCATGTTGTTCATGAATGTATGAAATATGTACAACTTTTTGTATATTAATCATACTGCAATAATTTTTTTAAAAAAAGAAGGGTAGTTCAGGTAAATGTGGGTAGGCCCAATGCCAACTTTGCAAGTCAAATAGAATGTACTTGGCCCACTAGCTTTTAAAAAGCATTCGTAAAATTGATTTCAGATGAACATTCTTTTCCACAAGGAAATTAAAAACACATTCACAGACCATCTCATTTCCCTTCAGAATTTCTCTAAGCAGGCATTTTAAGGAGTTTACTTTCCCACTTTATTTCTAGGGAATCTAAAGTTTAGTATCCGAGGCCCAATTTCTGATGAAAATCCAACGTGCTATTTAAAATACAGCTTAGCATTACAGAAAGTATCACTCTAATATTGGATTTTCTTTATGAAACAAGATATTCTTCTGGAATATGTACTGAAAGAGGCAGCATATTTCTGAAGCAAAATTTGAGGCTTCTTTGGGTTTTATTCGTTCTTCAAATAAGATCAGATTTAGAATAATGCTACGAAAGTGTCATTATATTATTCTACCCCAGTATGTGCCGTGTCTTTATGTAAATAGTTTTAAGTGACACTGTTGCTGCCCACACAGACAGAATCTCAAATGCTGGGGGAAATAATTTTTCTCTTAAACATTTTCTTTCATTTTTACTGTAAGAATGATACATTCTGCAGTTACAAAGATGAGAATTACATAGTCTTAGGGATAGTGGAATAATGGCTAAAAGTCATATTTGATATAGCAAAGCCTCGTTTGTTTGATCTGTAATAATTTTTAAAATTGATGAATAGACAGTGATTAGCCTTGTGTTTCTTCTCTCCCATATATCAGGAATAATTTTATTAAGTAACTTTATAGTGCAAAACATATGTAGGGAAAATACTCAAACTCTATAGGTAAACATATTTCCTTCAAATCATTCTTATCTATTCATTTAAATGTATTCCTTTAGCAATATGGTAGTCTGGATATAATTTATTAGCTATATCTAGAAGCAAATAATTGGAAATGCTTTGAAATATATTATCCTTCAAATGTCTTATTACTTTAAACTGACTATAAGTTTCTTAGCTTATATTGTATTAGCTGACATTGATCCATAACTGTGACCCAATTTCTTAAATAAATCATTATTGATTCATTTTTTGTTGTAACTCAAGAACTCATTGTGGGGGAAAAAATAACTAATTGTGGGAAAGATGAAGGAAACTTGGGCCTTCACTCATTATTGTCCTCCAGCTTGTCTCACGATCGACTTTGTTCAGAGTTCAGAATCAATATCTAATTAGACGTAGTCAAATCAACGAAATAACAAACACACCATTTCTGCCTCCCTACATCAGAATGACTCTAAATAAAAGTAAGAAAATAAGCCATAATCTTTCCCATTACTTTAAGGATGTGTTCACTAAAAATCAATACGTATTACTAAAGACTTTATAATCGTTTATCTTTTAATCACCTCTGGAATGTGAAAATACTCTGAAAACAAGACATAAAAGCTTTCCTCCATTTGTCCGTCTCTAATTCGCATGCTACACTTTTCTGTCAAGGATCTTTTGAATTTCACTAGAATCTCACATAAAGAACAATTTAAAAATATGAGTCACTTGCAGCCTTTGCAAAAAATTCTACAAATCACAGATCTGTTGGGATTTGGGGGCGATATTTGATGCTATGAAAAAATAGCAGAGCTGTTCACACTCCTATAGTATTTGGACACATTGCCATTGCCAGGTGGTGCAGAATAAATAAAGCAAGATTGTTGACAAGAGAAAGATTACTGTAACAAAAATTTTGCACTAGTTGAGCTGCCATACCCCAGCATGGTAGATTTAGGCCATTCAGTAATATTTATAATGTTCATATTTCAGTCAAAATTAATAATAATATTTTTATGTCTTCAGCCAGTCTTTCAGGAATTAGAGAAGAAACAATAAGGATGGCCTTATTGATCTGCTTAGCTAAAACATTAAGAAGCCTTTTATAAGACAACGTACAGAAAAATCTCAGTTTGTGGCACCAAATGGTATTAAATATGCCCACTTCCTGTTCTAATCATTTGCCTATTTTACCTGTTTTAAAATGTTTAAATAAAGTAACTGTACTCTTATTCTAATAAATGTTTCCTGTTAAAATATTCTTTTTTGTTCCCCTTTTTCTATTGGATTTATATCACCATAACTATGTGAGAAGGTCATAATAATCATGCACCCTCCATGAATGGTATTGCAAAATGAGAAACAGCCAACCTGATTTACTCGTCCACTCAAAATGACGGCAGCAATTTTTCGGAAAATGTACATACCAATATGTAGTTTTGGTTGATCTCATGTGATGTTTTTAGCATGACAATAGTCATAGGTAGATTAGGTTAAATAATTGTGGGAAGAGGAGGAACAAGAAAACAAAAACTATATTTTGTTCCGTGAGGTAATTTTTTTGTGATAATAACACAAAACAGTACATTTTACATTTGCTCATAGAGTAGGCATGAGAATCAGCCCTACATTGTCACACGAACTACAACTGCTCCCACCAAATGAGGTAGTGGAGGGGAACATTATTTGCTTTAGTGAATAAGTCACTCTTGCACTAGAATAAACAGGGAGTGGAAATCCACAGCAATGCATCCGTACCTAAAATCCATCCCAGGCAACAAATTGATTTGAAAAGCTGTGGTGTTTAGAATCATAAAAATGATGAAGGAAGTGAAAAAGTCAGATAAGCAACATTCTAAAAGTTAAGACACATGTGAGTAAATTAGATCAGCTTTTTAACTGGGGTAAGGAATTGAGGGAGAAAGAAAGGGCTGCCCTGTCCTGCCTGCTGACACACAGAGAGCCCTCAGCATGAAAGAAGTGAAGAATATTGTGAAGTAGGCATCAGAGAAGTCAGGAGCACAGACTCCAGAAGTGTTCAGTGGGCACCAACCCTACCTCTGCCACTTTCTAGCTGTGTGACCTTGGCTATGTTGTAGTCTCTCTAAGTCTCAGTCTCCTAGACAGTAAAATGAAGGTAATATTGGTACTAGTGACTTCATCTTCCACCACTCACCCACTCCTGAACATGTCAAGCACCCCCGGCCTCAGGGCTGTTGCTTTTTTGTTCCATCAGTGTGGAATATCCATCATCCAGAGAAATTCAAGGTCTACTCCCTCTTATACATTCTTTGGTTTTTCCCAGATCTCTCCTACCCTATCTAAAATGGCACCTCTTTCTACTTCCCACATTCTCAATACTTTTTCTCCATAATGTTATGCATTTATTTCCATTGTCTGTTTCTTCCACTAGAACATAAGCTCCAAAGGACATGGACTCGCTATATTCAGTGTTGGAGCACTACCTGACCCATCATGGGCGCTTGGTCAATACTTATGGAATGAATGAATGAAAAGCTGATGAATGAATGAATTAATAAAAGGAGGGTTGTGGGTGAGGGGATAATGTTTTCACTGGAGGCTGCAGTGGCCAAACCATACAGGCCATAAAGAATGAGTTAAGGAATTTGGCCTTTACCTTCCCCAAAAAAGGGATGTGATCTCCAAGCATTATTGTGAAAAATAAATGAGAGAGGTAAAGCAATTCAGCCCAGAATCAAAAACATCTTTTACTCAGTACATGTTAGTTATCACTGTAGTATGAGTGTAAGTCCCAGTTAATCAGTTGCACAATAAAATCGCTATTCAGGTGTTTGTGGGAGATACCACTTCCCCTTGTAGAACTTTAGAATTTTTACAAGAAAATAGATTGTGAAATCCTCTGGCCAATTGCCTTTCAAAACAATTTTCCATTTCCTGCCTCCTAAGCTAGCTAATTGCAATGATGGTTTTATAAAATCTGACCTCCTGGGTGCTTAAAACCTCACATGCGTTTGATCAGTTAAAAGAAAAAAAAGGACTCTGCAGGCATGAACAGATTGTTACTTTTATTCACTCTTCCTTGATAAGCCAGAGTCTGCTAGGTTGAGTAACTGTACCAGCTTCCATGTATGGCTCATTTACTAAGTGCTAGGCATTGTGTTAACCATTTTTAAATAATATTCCTTTTAGGAAGATAATCCTCACAATGACCCTCAGAGATAAATATTATTATTATGCCCAGGTTACACATGAGGAAACAGAGCCAGAATATCTGTTTCCCTAGGTGCTGCAGTCAGCCACAGTACACGGCAGAGACAGGCTTTGCAGGCATGCAGTTGGCTTCCAGAGCCAGCACTCACGAGCTCACCGTTAGTCTCCTCCAAGGAAGGAGCACCAGAGAAGTCCAGCAAATGGTCTGCCACACAGCTGGGAAGACAGCCAGCATGGATTCAAGCCTGAGTATATAACACCAGATCCCATATTGCCAAACTGCCTCCAACTATTAATTCTTTATTATTTCTTAACAATTTAGAGACCTTGGCAATTCCTCCCCACTTCAATACAGGTGTGATGCATAGCCTTCCAGAGTTGTGAAAAGTGAGAATCTGTCTACAGATGAAGTTTTCTGAAGTCTGGGGTTGGAATGTTTATGAATAAACTTATGATTTGTATAATCTGGGAATTTTTAAAGTTTTCCCTTCCTACGCACATGATATAATGCTTGTACATGCATTTGCAAATAACTGAGCAGGTTATATACACCCATGATCAGTTCTTCTTTCTGCTTTGAATGGGATCATTACAATTAATCCTCATCACTTCTTTCTTTAAAAGGGCTAACGGAGCACAAAAGAAAAGGGGAAATACCAACTTTAGGTGACAGAAACTATTAAATCAAGTAGTTCTTTTACTTCTGGAATGAGAAAATAGGAAGTTTAGGGACACTTATTTAAATGAACTATATCACAATGCCATTTCTGATTTTTAAGGATCTGAGATAGGATGTTCATTTAGAACTTAACTGGTAAAGGGAAAAATAGCAGGAATCCAATTTCTTCAAGAAAATACTTAATGTGAAAATTGGCTCAAAAACATGATAATTGTGGTTCTGTCTTTTCAAGCCAGCAGAAATGGCATATAATCTTAGTATCAGCTTCTCAAACACATGTGTTTTCAGCTTGCCTTACCGGGCCCCATCTGGTCCTTATTGCTATAAGGTATATCCAGACGCTACTGTTAACCATTGTAGAGCTATGAATAGTAGAAAAGTATAAGCTAAAAAAAGGATTCTGATCAATTTTTTAAAATTGGTGCATTACCACTTCTTTTGATATATCATTCTAGGCTCCCATCAAAGGTTATTAGTTCTCAAGGCAGTACCAAGCCAAGCCAATGCTTTAAAACATTTCCCAGCCATATACTAACCATTAAGAATGGGTCTTCTCATTGAAAACAACTGCCATTACCTCATCTTTTCTAAATAGAAGGTTTTCTCATCCTTTGTTGAAAATAGTGCTAAGTATCTTAGTCTAGTAGATAGCATTGCTTTTCCCCTCTATTGATCAAGATGACTATCTATTAAAAAGAGTTTGATTTGGATTCAGAGAATGTTGATACATGTAGCTGCCACTGAATCACAAAGCCAAGATGTCACATTGTATATTAAATCCAAGACAAATTCCCAGCTAGAGAAAACCTCTTATCAAGAGCAGTCAACCTCTGAATGTCTCATTCTCCCAATTACTCTCTAGAATAGTGTGGGCAGCTTGTGGTAGCAAAAAAGAGAACACGGAGGCATCCTTTCTGCACATAAGCGTATGGCTTACTTTTTTGGAAGAAGATCCTACCATACTCCACAATGAGGGGATGGATGCAATCAATGGAGCCAGAGTCTAGCTTTTTATTTTAGAAAAATCTGGAATTTGGTACTGTTTTAAGGAATGAGCATTCCATTGGCCCTAATTACTGTTGGAAACAATTCTATTGGAACTAGTGTAATTCAATATGGAATTTCTCTCCAGACCACCAGTTCAAAATTGGCTCCAATGAGAAAGAGTTCAGAGTTATTATCTGATGGCTGTCTGCCTGCCAGAATGAGATGGTTTAGGGGAATTGACTACTTTCCATGTAGGGAGGCAGGGCCATGTGCGTCAAACATTGTTAGTATCGGTGCTTCATCACATACCCTCTCCCCTCCATCTCCCACTGCCCTCAGCAGCACCAAAGCCAAGAAATGGTTGAGATAAAAACTATATCATTAGTTTTGCTCTATGTGTGGTCTTGTCTTTCAGAGATAGCTTTAAGTACAAAAGAACCAGAGTTAACAGTTATCACTGGTATGTAAGTCTCAAGAACTTGCTTCTGCCAAGCCAATATGTGGGTCCATGTAAGGTCAGATTTGGATCTTTAGAGAGTCTAAAGTCTGAAAAATATTGTAGTGCCACTCACACACATGCCAATGAAGGTGAAAACAGGCAAAACCATAAGCAAGTATAGGAAGGTTTAACAAAATAAAAAACTGAAAACTGAAAAAAAATTAAATATCTAATTATTTCCAAATAGTTTTCTCATTTGTGGGGGAACTTCTGTTTTATGGATGCCCTAAGCAAATGCATAGGCTGTATATGGAGTATTAAACAAAAGGTGTGAAACAGCACAGCGATGTGCTGAACATGGTGTCCAAACATCTGTGTTTAAAATATGACTCTACTTGTCAGGTGCAAGGAGCCCTGGACAAGCCTACGAACATCATAGCACCTCCATTTTCTCACTTTTAAGCCAATGGTAATATCTGCTCCTAGGGATGTTGGCAGTGTAATGTGATTTCCTACAAGGATGTAGTTTTCTAAATGATATAGTATTAAACACATGTTAGGTCTTAATATTTTAGTTAGAATTGAGATCCTTCTTTGCATCTTACTTTTTAGAAATTTAAGTAAGATTATTTCAATGTTTTCCAGTTTGTTACATAAAATTATAAACAATGCTCATCAATTTTGCCAATAAACTTTTGTTAGATTCATTTTAATATACACTCAGTAATATTTACACAATAGTAATGATAAATACAGGGCACTGGTTGTGTGTCAGGCAGTATCCTCAGTTCACTATTTATGATAACTCATGTAGCTCTTGTAATAACTCTGTAAGGTAGATATTACTGTCTTTATTTAAATATGAGAAAATTAAGTCACAGAGTAGCTCAGTAGTACATCCAAGTTTATACAGTCAGTAAGTATAGAAATGGGATTTGAACTCAAGCGCCCTTGCTCCAAAATATGTGTTAATGACTCAATTAAACTTACTTTCCACAAGGTGTAAATTTAAAAGAAAGATCCAGGTTGCGGGGGGCAGTGCTATTTTAAGGCTTTTCTTCATTTACTCATTCTTGCATCATGCCAAACATTGAAGATACAGTCACACTGCTCTTTCTAATGGGGAGACAGACAAGAAACAAGAAAAAAGAAAGAGATAAATGCTATTAGGAAAACAAACTGAGATAATATGTTGGAGAATGATTCTTTAGTTGGGGAAGACCAAGAAGATGATATTTGAAGCAAGATGGGAATGTCAATGATGAGTTCATCATGTGAAGATCTGAGCATTCCAGGCAGACATAACTGCAAAGGCAAAAACTCCCAGTTGAGAATGAGCTTTGGAAATAAGGCCCGGTGTGAGTGGAAGGAAGTGCATAAACGAGGAACATGGAGGGAGGTGAGGAAGAAGCATAACTTTTTTTGAGGAATGAAAAGATGGCTAGCATGGCTGGAGAGTACATGTGAGAAGACACCAGAAGGGTGACCTAAGCCACAGAAAACAGGCCTCAGAGGCCATGCCCAGCACTCTCCATCACTGAAGAACAATGGAAAGCCACGGTGACATTTCCAGCAGTTGAGAGAGACGATCAGGTATGTCTGGCATGTTTTTGAAAATTATGCTGTCTGCAGAGCAGATAAACTAATGGAAATCACAAGAATGAGAGAAGAGAGAACAGTCAGAAACTACTACAATAGCACAGGCAAGAGATGACTTCTTGGACTAGGGGTGGTGGTGATGCAGATGCTGAGAAATGGATGGATTGGAGATATATTTTTGGATGTATAACTGACAGGACTTGGCGAGAGTGAGCAACAAGATGGTGTAGAGGATGACTTCTAAGTATCTGGTTTTAATTAGGGAATAGATAGATCATTCCTTGAGAGCACTGAGATGCATTAGAAGATTCCAAGTTTTACTGCGGATGTTTTGAGGCCAAGAGACATACAATAATGACAGATAAAAACAAACAAAATCCAATGAAATATTTAATATATATTTATTGAATGGTTAAAACAAACTCCTCTCCATTTTTCTGACCATGGGTCACCAGCAGTCAGAGACTCACACACAGAAAATCTACTAAAAATACAAAAATTAGTCGGGTGTGGTGGCATGCACCTGTAGTCTCAGCTACTCAGGAGGCTGAGGTAGGAGAATCGCTTGAACCCAGGAGGTGAGGCTGCAGTGAGCCAAGACCACTGTACTCCAGTCTGGGTGACACAGTGATACTCTATCTCAAAAAAAAAAAAAAAAAAAGAAAAGAAAAGAAAAAAAAGAAAAGAAAAGAAAGAAACGCTGTTGTCTCTTTACATCATTCCCAAAGTGACATTCTCATTTTTCTGGTAAAAGTTCCCAGTTTGCTTTCAGGAAGCCATTCATACTCATTGCATGCATCCTACTGTGGCTCTCAAAGTTTGCCTGCCATTACTGCATGCGTGTCCTACACAGGCCAAGCTAAGTATTTCATGATCCTGGCACACACACATTCACACACACATGCACACACAAAAACCGCTTATGGTTGGGGCCAAGTTACAATGATTTGATGACTGATATTGGAAGAGATAAGTTTGTTCTTTTTAAAAATGTCAAGCCATAAAGACGATATAATTTGGATTCTAGAGTCATCTTCCAAGGCTACATAAATGAAGTCATCTGCAGTATCAGTGAGTGAGATCAATGAAATGAGATCAAATAACAGAACAAACATCTAGCATTGGGATGACAGACTCAGGCCCACGATCATGCCCTCAGTTATAAAAGCAAAAATAAACTCTCCTTTTAAAAAATCTACTTCAGTTGAAAGTGGATTTCTAATGCTTTCATACAAAGGGATTTGGAAAAATAAAATTTTACTGTAAATATGACAAAATCCCAATGAATTCAGGCAATTTCAAAATGTAAGACATGCCACTATTACAAATACACCAGTGGCCGACTTGATTAAGAAGAAAATAACGAGTAATTTGGAATACAGGTTTGTCAAAAAAAATACAGAATGCGAAGTCACTAGGAAAAAGTTTTAGCATGTCATAATGCAGCATCTGAATTAATATTTTATTTATTTATTTATCCATTTATTTATTTTATTTATTCATTTTTGAGACAGAGTCTCACTCTGTCACCCAGGCTGGAGTGCGGTGGCGAGATATCGGCTCACTGCAACCTCCACCTCCTGGGTTCAAGTGATTCTCCTGCCTCAGCCTCCTGAGTAGCTGGGATTACAGGCACGAGCCACCACACCCAGCTAATTTTTGTATTTTTAGTAGAGATAGGGTTTCACCATGTTTATTAGGCTGGTCTCAAACTCCTGACCTCATGATTCGCCCAACTCAGCCTTCCAAAATGCTGGGATTACAGGCATGAGCCACCGCGCCCGGCCCTGAATTAATATTTTAAAAGGGCAGACGACTTCATGGACACAATAGATCATGGATAAATCAATCTTTCTAGTTGAGTGTAACTCTATGGACAAAGAGAGAATGGTTTTGAAGTATTTTGGAAGTACAAACAATGTAAATAAAAAAATACGCAGTATGCCTTAAGAAAAAAGAATGGTCCCCAGATATGAAAGATTTCAATGTAGCAAGATTGACTTCATTGGCATATCTAAAAGAAGAATGTTTTAATCTGTAGGGGAATGTAGTGCGCCATAGAAGCAAAGTAAATGAGACTTACAGGCAGAAAACACTGTTAGCCCTCACTCAAGGACAGCACAGAGAGAATGAAGGAGAATGAAGATTTAACCTTATATTTTCCATTGCCTAGTCCTTTGGGCAGGCGTTGCCAATATTGAGATAGTGACAAGGAATGGAGGATCAATGCACATTGAAAAGCCACCCCTGTTGCTAGATGAGATGAGTCCTCATCTAGCCTTCATCTCAGATGAAGCCAGTGTATAGTCAGTCCCTCTAATTCCATCCAACCACACACAATGTTTTGCCTGATTCCAGCTTAATAAAGAGACTTCAAAATTATTCTCTATATTATTGCCTAAAAAAGGTTTGCCTGCACAGAGAGAATTTTCTGCTCATCACAGTCTTTGAGCATTTGAATTATAGTGACAATAATTTCTCACTACAATTTAATGAATCAAAATTCTGATTTTATGTATCAATCAAATAGGATAGGCCAACATGAGTCTGCATTTGGGAAATGAAATTATTCTCTGTAAGTCCGTAAAATCAGGTTTGTGAGTCTCTGAAAAGTAGGATCCAGACTGTGAAACATGGTGAATCCACGAAGCCAGCAAATATCTTACTTTCTCCCTCCCTGGCTCCTCAAAGCCACTTACCAGGGAACCTGTTTGGTTTATCAGGTGGAAATTTTCCTAACAGAAACACACATTATTCCATGTCTATTCATGTGTCTCTTGGTTTTGTCCTCGGGGGCCTTGGTTGCATGCTTTGGGTCATCCTACCTTTTTCTTGAAAAATAGCCTGTATTTGAAGAAGTGGCTTTCTCATTTGTTTTCCTGCCTTTGGGTCATTAATTTAGGAAAGGCACAGCAGGAATGGGCTCCTCACTTCTCACAATGAGAATATCACATACTTTCTGGGCTACAGCTGAGAATATTCAAGTATCTGGGAGTAACTCAAATGGATGGAAACAGAAATCAATTGGAGGCTACTTCAACATCTGGCATGTGGGCAGGAGTGCCCTGAAGGCTAGGCTGAGCTGAGATTACTTTACAGAGCACCTACACGTGGTCTCTCCATATTGCTTGGGATTCTCACAACATAGAAGCTACATTTCAAGAAGAATCATTCCAAGACAACAGGTGAAAGATCTAAGCCTTCTTCTGACCTATCTTTGAAAGTCATGCAACTTCACTTCTATCACATCATACTGTCCATTATAATCTGAAGTCTTGTATATTTTATGGAATTTTTATTCTGTGAATAGAATTCAAAGTAAATCCCTGAGTCCAGCTGTTTCAAGGGGAGAGAAAGTAGATTCCACTCCTTTAACAAAGAATAGGAAGTTACATCACTAAATAGAAGGTCAGTAAGGAGATATTGTTAGGCTATCTTTGCAACTATGTCACAGACCATTTAATAAAATTGTCAAACAAGGAGAAAAAATATGAGGAAAGTGACTTTAAATGCCATAAGCTTATAAAGAAAAGAAAGGCTGCTAAGAAACTGAACTGTAGCTTAGAAAAGAAGTTATTTGTTCGAGTTTCACATTTCCTATACTTTGCTACAATATTCTGTCCCTAAAATGAGGCCAGCATCATCCTGATACCAAAGCCTGGCAGAGACGCAACAAAAAAAAAGAGGATTTTAGACCAATATCCCTGATGAGCATTGATGCAAAAATCCTCAATAAAATACTGGCAAACCGAATCCAACAGCACATCCAAAAGCTTATCCACCATGATCAAGTGGGCTTCATCCCTGGGATGCAAGGCTGGTTCAACATATGCAAATCAATAAACATAATCCAGCACATAAACAGAACAAAAGACAAAAACCACATGATTATCTCAATAGATGCAGAAAAGGCCTTTGACAAAATTCAACAACGCTTCATGCTAAAAACTCTCAATAAATTAGGTACTGATGGGACGTATCTCAAAATAATAAGAGCTATCTATGACAAACCCACAGCCAATATCATACTGAATGGGCAAAAACTGGAAGCATTCCCTTTGAAAACTGGCACAAGACAGGGATGCCCTCTCTCACCACTCCTATTCAACATAGTGTTGGAAGTTCTGGCCAGGGCAATCAGGCAGGAGAGGGAAATAAAGGGTATTCAATTAGGAAAAGAGGAAGTCAAATTGTCCCTGTTTGCAGATGACATGATTGTATATCTAGAAAACCCCATCGTCTCAGCCCAAAATCTCCTTAAGATGATTTCAGCAAAGTCTCAGGATACAAAATCAATGTGCAAAAATCACAAGCATTCTTATACACCAATAACAAACAGAGAGCCAAATCACAAGTGAACTCCCATTCACAATTGCTTCAAACAGAATAAAATACCTAGGAATCTAACTTACAAGGGATGTGAAGGACCTCTTCAAGGAGAACTACAAACCACTGCTCAATGAAATAAAAGAGGATACAAGCAAATGGAAGACCATTCCATGCTCATGGGTAGGAAGAATCGTGAAAATGGCCATACTGCCCAAGGTTATTTATAGATTCAATGCCATCCCCATCAAGCTACCAATGACTTCCTTCACAGAATTGGAAAAAACTACTTGAAAGTTCATACGGAACTAAAAAAGAGCCCACATTGCCAAGTCAATCCTAAGCCAAAAGAACAAAGCTGGAGGCATCACGCTGCCTGACTTCAAACTATACTACAAGGCTACAGTAACCAAAACAGCATGGTACTGGTACCAAAACAGAGATATAGATCAATGGAACAGAACAGAGCCCTCAGAAATAATGCCACATATCTACGACCATCTGATCTTTGACAAACCTGAGAAAAACAAGCAATGTGGAAAGGATTCCCTATTTAACAAATGGTGCTGGGAAAACTAGCTAGCCATATGGAGAAAGCTGAAACTGGATCCCTTCCTTACACCTTATACAAAAATTAATTCAAGATGGATTAAAAACTTAAATGTTAGACCTAAAACTATAAAAACCCTAGAAGAAAACCTAGGCAATACCATTCAGGACAAAGGCATGGGCAAGGACTTCATGTCTAAAACACCAAAAGCAATGGCAACCAAAGCCAAAATTGACAAATGGGATCTAATTAAACTAAAGAGCTTCTGCACAGCAAAAGAAACTACCATCAGAGTGAACAGGCAACCTACAGAATGGGAGAAGATTTTTGCAATCTACTCATCTGACAAAGGGCTAATATCCAGAATCTACAATGAACTCAAACAGATTTACAAGAAAAAAAACAAACAACCCCATCAAAAAGTGGGCGAAGGATATGAACAGACACTTCTCAAAAGAAGACATTTATGAAGCCAAAAGACACATGAAAAAATGCTCATCATCACTGGCCATCAGAGAAATGCAAATCAAAACCACAATGAGATACCATCTCACACCAGTTAGAATGGTGATCATTCAAAAGTCAGGAAACAACAGGTGCTGGAGAGGATGTGGAGAAATAGGAACACTTTTACACTGTTGGTGGGACTGTAAACTAGTTCAACCATTGTGGAAGTCAATGTGGCAATTCCTCAGGGATCTAGAACTAGAAATACCATTTGACCCAGCCATCCCATTACTGGGTATATACCCAAGGGATTATAAATCATGCTGATATAAAGACACATGCACACGTATGTTTATTGCGGAACTATTCACAATAGCAAAGACTTGGAACCAAGCCAAATGTCCAACAATGATAGACTGGATTAAGAAAATGTGGCACATATACGCCATGGAATACTATGCAGCCATAAAAAATGATGAGTTCATGTCCTTTATAGGGACATGGATGAAGCTTGAAACCATCATTCTCAGCAAACTATCACAAGGACAAAAAACCAAACACCGCATGTTCTCACTCATAGGTGGGAATTGAACAATGAGAACACATGGACACACGAAGGGGAACATCACACACTGGGGCCTGTTGTGGGGTGGGGGGGAGGGGGAGGGATAGCATTAGGAGATATACCTAATGTTAAATGACGAGTTAATGGGTGCAGCACACCAACATGGCACATGTGTACATATGTAACAAACCTGCAGGTTGTGCACATGTACCCTAAAACTTAAAGTATAATAAAAAATAAGAATGTTCATAAGTGTCAATATAAAATAACACACTGGGGCCACCATAGAATAATTCTTGACACGCTATTTCTCATAGAACTAGGCATATTTTGCCTTTAGTAAGAGATAGGGAAATATAAATTCACCTGGGGAGAGTCAACTCCTTTTTTTTTTTTTTTTTTTATCCTGCCACTGAAGATTGGTTTATTGTCCATTTAAAAGACATGTCACACTTTGGCAACCAAGCGAGACCAGGATCAGCCTCTTAGGAAAAATAATAAAATTGGTTAATCAGACAGGGTTCTGGTCAAGATGCTGCAAGATATAGAACTGTGCATTGCTGGGGGTTGGGAAGTATTGGGAATGATCATCCATCATGGCAAGATCCAAATTACAAAGTATATGAACACATAGGTATTTGGGTTAAACACTGCCCAAAGTGCTTTCTTTGTTGGTGCTGTTAAAAGCCTTTAAAAAGCTAACCAGATGGCAAATGAGTGCTGTGGAGAGGCAAGAAATTCCCAGTAGTGGAAAAGTTTGGCTAAATGTGCCTTTTGTAAGTATAGTGCTTTCTTAACTATTCAATTGTTTATTCAGTGTTTCTTAAAACTTGGTGTCTTCACTGAACACAAAAGGTAAATGCTGGGTTACACTACCTGAGTCATGCAGTTTCTCTAAATCTAGATCCAGGTTGTAACTGAAGGGGAAAGTCTGGCTAGTTTTTCAGTCTTTGAGTCTTGGACTTAATAATTGATTAATGAAGTCTGACTTCAAACTCCTAGGATTCCTTTACCTTGGCCATATGGTCAGAACTTCCCATCAATGACTATTTCCCCATTAGTTATCCTGTTGTATAATTCCCAGTTCAGTCTTTATACTGATAAGTTGAGGATCATGATGATCAGAATAAAATCACAGACAGATGATAATTTGGCCATTGAAATTTGAAATTGTATGCTTTTTGTGGATATACAGAAATAACCAGAATCCCAAAGCTTTCCTTGCCATAATGCTTTGTTTCTTTTTCCACAGAGCATTACATCTCTGAGATTACAGTTGGATTTTTGTCTTATTCCCATGCCAAAACTGAAATGTTTACAAAAGAGCCTAAAAAAGTATGCTAGAGAGATAAGTTAGCTGAGTTCACAAGTTCAAGGAGCACAAAGGCAGGAATATGCCAAAAGATGTTTTAAAATCCATATCTGAATAAAAAGCTAATATCTTCATAAATGTGTATAGCAGATCAAAAGCATTCTTACCAATAAACTAAATATAATTTGTTCTCTGTTATGAGAGAATAAAATATTTTGTTTCTAACAGCATTAAACTGTCATTGAGAGTTTTACTAAGAAAATGGTTATCATTTCCACAAGGTATTCATCGTTATTTTTATGATAGACATGTTACTGTATTTACACCAATCCTTACTAGAGTTGGTATGGAAAAGCAAAAACAGTGGAAGAATGTTCTGAAACCCATATGAGATACATATCACCTGAGACTTCTTCTTTAAGGCCATATAGATTAGATATTGGCTTATGAACAGCATTTTCTTATCTGTTCCGGTATTTATAGCCAGTTCACGAGTGCTGTCCTCTCCAACTCCATCTCTACATCTCAACTCCATCTTTTGCCTTTTACTAAAAAATAGTCTTGAATACATGTTTTCATTATATCAATAAAACCCCTCACCTCTGAGGTAAATATAATGGTTTAAGGTGGCCAGTTCTGGTATGGTTTGAATGGAAATGAAAAATTCTTGTCAGTCTACTCACCAAGTGAGTCTTCTCACCAAGCCAAAGGTGCAAATGAGTCCCAGTGAAACTTCCAGGGACTCTTTTAAAATCATTCCAGGACATGTAGGTGTCCTGCATGTGTCCTTAAATATCCTTGGTGAGGTAGTCTAGAAACGCCATCTTAAAAAGTGGCCAAACTGAAAGAGTAGCAAAGCTTGCAGCATATTACCCACAAAGATGATGCAAAAAAACATGATGCTACCCAGTCGCAACTTGGGCAGCTTTAATTCACTACAATTATTGCCTTGTCCCTTCTGCAGTGACTTTCTCTGCATTCCACTCATTTATTCTACAAATATTGTTGAAGTGTCTTCTATTTTTCAGACACTGTTCTGGGAACTTGGGATATGATCAATGATCAGAGCAAAGATCCTTGCTGTCATTGAGCATTCACAAATAGATCAGAGTGAAGTGAGAAAGCCCTCAGTAATCATAAATGTAATAAATAAGCCATATGACATTTGAAATGATGTCAAGTACTGTGTTAAGAAAAGAGTGAAGTCTTTGAAGGTGCAGGGGCTGGGGCAAATAACACTTTTAAATAAGGTGCTCATGATAGGTCTCATTGAGAAGATAAAAGTAAAGCAAAGATTCAAAGGGTTAACAGTAAATTAGGTGTACGTGGAAAGACACTGACATCATTAGCTTTCAGGGAAATGTAAATCAAAACCACAATGAGATACCCTTGCACACTTTTATAATGGCTATAGTCAAAAAGACAGACAATAGCAAGTGTTGACAAGGATGGGAAGAAAGGCACCTGCATTTACTACTGGTGGAGATGTTAAATTCATAGCTGTTTGGAAAATTGTCTGGTAGTTCCTCCAGAGTTACACACACCCACCCTGTGTTCCATCAAGTTTATTCTTAGGTATATGCCAAAGAGGAATGGAAACCTAGGTCCACACAAAATTTGTAGATGAATGCTCATCGCTGCATTATCCATTATAGTCAATAAGTGAATGACCCAAATATTTTTCAACTAATTAATGGATAAATAAAATGTGGTATATCAATATAGTGAGATATTCTTTGGCAAAGAAAAGAGGTACTGACATATGCTGCAAAATGGATGAATCTAGAAAACATTATGCTAAGTAAACTAAATTGGTCAATAAGCACCCCATATTATATGACTCTGCTTATATAAAATAACCACAGTAGGAAAATCCACAGAGATAGAAAGTGAATTGTTAGGTTCCTAGGGCTGGGAATGGAAGGGCATGGGCAGTGATTGCTAGTAGTTATGGAATTTCTCTTGTGCTGATAGTTGCACAACTCCGTGAATGTACTAAAAATCATTGAATTGTATACTTTAGATGGTTTAGTTATATATGTCAGTAAAGCTGTCATGTGTGTATACATATATGTACACATAAATATATAAGATGATCCATAAGGTGGGTATTTCAGAAGATGAAAAGAGAGCATTTTAGGCAAAGTGAACAGCTAGAGCAAAAACTCACGTCCAGAGAGGGAGAAGAGGGAGGGCGGCCAGTGTGGCTGATGGAGATAAGAGTGAGCAGGATAACAGGAAGAGAGGGCAGAGAGGGCTTGGGGAGCTAGACCATGTAGAACTAGTAGGTTCCAGCAATGAATATGGTTCTTATTCTGGATAAAATGAGGGAGCGCTGCACATGTTTGAGGAGAAGTGTGCCATGATATAAATCATGTTTTCAAGAGGATATCCTTGATCTCCCAAGACCTTTCCCAAGGATAGATACAGAGCAATCTGTCAGGAGGCTATGAGATAACCCAGGCAATAAGTTAGAATCTATAGGATTTGTTGGTGGATTGATGTCAGAGATGGAAGAAAGTGAGGGATCAAGGATGACTCCAAAGTTTTTTGTTTGGGCAACTGGCAGGATGGAAATACCAGCAACACGAGGAAGAAAGATACAGATGGAGAAGTGTGAGAGGGGCAGAAACCAGGGATTTGGCATACAGAACATTAAGTTCCATATGCTCTAGTAAATGTCCAAGTAGAGATATTGAAGAGGCAGGTGTTGCAAAAGTTTGAACCTTGCTGTATTTTATCCTTTTATAGTCACCTTAATGGCCAGAAATCACAGTTCAAATTTTCTTTAAAGAGGCCGGGTGCAGTGGCTCATGCCTGTAATCCCAGCACTTTGGGAGGCTGAGGCAGGTGAATCACTTGAAGTCAGCAGTTCAAGCCTAGCCAACATAGTGAAACCCTGTCTCTACTAAAAATACAAAAATTAGCTGGGCGTGGTGGCCGTTGCCTGTAATCCCAGCTATTCAGGAGGCTGAGGAGGGAGAATCACTTGAATCCGGGAGGCAGAGGTTGCAGTGAGCCGAGATTTTACCACTACACTCCAGCCTGAGTGACAGAGTGAGACTCCATCTCAAAAAAAAAATTCTTAAAAGATAGTTAAAGTTCCTCAAGATTAAGAGAAAAATCGATTTAGATTGCACTCCTATAACTAAACCAAAATGTTGCAAATTCCCAAGTGATGAGAATTGTTATAATCATGATGTTGGCACTAAAAATAAAATATAATAGTAATGATGATTTTTAGAGCACATATTATGTGTATTTCATTGACATTATGTCTCATTCAACTACTCCTCATGAAAGTATCAGGATGCAGAAAAGTAAGTTACCGATCTTGCTCAACCACACAAAGCTAAATGAGTGGTTAAGCCAAGATTTGAACACAAATCTGTCTAACACTGTTCAACACTTCCATTCTTACCCAAAACTGCACTGCAATATGAAATATTAAAATATATGGAAGTGCTTTAAATTACTTTTAGCATGACACATGTCTAAACTATAATCATTGAGCTTGGAAACCTAAACAGTATTACTCTTGGTGATAACAGCAGCAAAATACCTCTCTAATGGACCGTCTGGCTCTACTGCCATTAAGACTTTGTGTCATAAAGAGAAGAACTTTCAAAATAGCCAGCTCCCTTTGCCTTATTGGCCAAAAAAAAAAAAAAGGAATTTTTAATAGCGAATAATAACAAAAAGATATAGATAGAAACAAAGGCAAAGTTTAGAGAAAAGAGAAATCTTACCAGAAAAACAGAAGAAAGCTGGCTGGTTGAGGCATAAAATTAAATATAAAGTAATAACACATATTTAAGAGAAAATACATTTATTTTCAGGTACAGATTTAAAACAATTTTAAAAATTAGCCAGAGAAATGTTTGTGCTATTGGAGATTCATAAATTAGACAAAACTGGAAGTCAAGTGTCCTGACATTAACAACATGCATTTATCTATTACTGATAATAGATTACCCGAGAGAAACCTTAAACCCGGGAGCCAGCAACTCAAAAGAAAATTAAGAAAATAAATTAAAAGTGAAATTCTTAGTGTTGAAAAGACTACAGGGAAGTAGAAAAGAGGAAAGCTTTAAGTTAGGAAAGCATAAAGAAGACAAAATTAAAGAGATGATTATAGGTACAAAATTAGCACTTCCCAAAGCATATGCCATAGTTTAAAATATCAGTTTAAATAATAATTTAGAAGTTTGCTTTTTTAAAAATATCTTGGTGCTTATCCAGTGATTCTCCCTGAAATTTCTCTAGGCACGCCCTGGGACTGCAAAGGACATCAGCCAGCTCCACACCCAGACGCTAAACACATCTCCACTGGACATCTGACCGCTACCAAAAAGGATTCACTTGACATTTTGTTGTGTGATTGCAAAATGTATTTACTTATTTATTTGCTAACTGAAAGACAAATTGTTTCTTGAATACGATGGGCCTCCTAGGATAAATTTGGCCTATTATACACTTAGTCAAGTCCATTTTCTTTTAATTATTTGGTTTGCATTCTCACGGAAAATAAATCTAGTGCACAAACAGCAAGTCTTAAAAAGATCCTTGCCATCTGATATAAAGCAAGCTGGCAGGAACAATATTTACAAAGCGCCCATATTATGGCCATGTGGTAGCACATCCAAGAAATTGGTTATTATATTCAAATTGTTATTTGATGATGATGGTGATGATTTTCATAATACTTATTGCACTGAATCAACATCTCTCCAATATGATATGCAACCAATCTCTTCTATTTATTAATGGATGAAGTTAAATCTCAATATCTATAGGAATCTCTATGAAAGATGAGCTGATTACAGCAGGCAATTTTTTTAAGCAATCAGTTGCCAAACACAAAAGCCCATTCTGGCTAATGAAAGCACAAAAATAAATTATGAAGATAGTTTGGGGGTACTCACTTAATCAAATAGAAAGTTGAACAATTAGGTCCGGGGAGGACAGGCTCCAGGGCAGCTCAGAAAGTCTTAGTTCCAGAAAGTCTGGGGGAAAATGATGTACATATCAAAGCTTGGGTCTTATGTTCAACTTTGGAGGAGAGGCAGGTCAGGGAGATCATTCTGGGATTCAAAGTCCCCGTGGACCACATGGAACAGATAAAGGGATATTTTCCCCCACTCCCCCATGGAGAAATGATGTTTTATAATGAGAATAAGGAGAGAGAAATGCTGGCAGGACAAACAACAGATAATGGTACTCGCCTCCTTTACTCTGGCACTTGCATTTATAAGTGACAAGTTCTGTCTACTTCAGTGCCTTCACAAGTTGTTAGCCCCCCTGCCTGGAATCTTAGCTTGGCTGGGCCCATTACATCATTTAGGATTCAGCTAAATGCCCCCCCATACAGAGAGCTCTTTCCTGATTATCCTATCCAAGTATCCCCACTGCGCAGTCACTTCCCAGATCCCAAGATCCTCCCTTATTTACTTCAATGCACTCATCCGTACCTGACTTATCAGATGCTCTACTGAGATACAGACTCCATGACAGCATGGATAGTCTTGAAAGTCCAGGATGAATGAATAAATGAACAAACCATAAAAAAATGAACTATTAAGGTCATTGGACATGCCTGATAATAGCTTTGCTGACTTCTTGCCTCCTTTTTTGAGCTCTTTGCCCCACCCTATTGGACAGAAAGAGATGCTCTGACAGCCATGCTATTTAACCCTGCTCTCCGGACTGTTCAACATGGTCAAAGTTTGCATCCGGATGTTCCATGGCAAGAGTTTGTTTCAGAGAAAAGGAGGCTGAGGATGGGCCAGTTACTGAGCTGGCAGAGTTGATCTCTGGCTCTGTTTCCTGGTGCATCTACCTCCTTGTGGGCCCTGGGGCAGGTAATCAACCTCTAAAACGAGAAATGGAGACTGGCCCAGTGACTGGCAATGGGAGTAATACAGGACCCTATGGAGTATTATGGGAAGCTATAGCAGTGTTTGGTTATTCTTGTTGTTTTTATCTTCTAGTATAGTCATTTACAAGTGGCTACATGTTGTAATGCATAATACTGTCAGTTAATTTACAAAGACATCTACTTCAAAGTACAGTTTGAAATTATGTTTGTGTGTAGGTGGGTTACACAATCTATTATTATAATGCAGTAAAGAAAACCTCTCAAAATATTTGTTTTTTAAAAAAGGCATGGGATTTAGTGGCTGGATAATCAAGAGACCAGGCGGTCTCTACGGTGAAACACAAAACACTCTACTTTCTATCTCCTCTTCCACAAGGTCGCCTCAGCCTGGCATCATGGTCTCATCTGCTGCAAATTCTCACACCGGACACACTCAAGTGCAAAAACAAATGCAATGGTCCCGGGGCATGGGGAGGGGGATAGCAGGACTCGTCCACCAGCCAATTGCGACAATGTGTGGCATCTTGACAGCTCCCTTCTCCAATATAGACCTCCATCTATGCTCTCCCCTGTTCTCTCTCTCCACCACTGTCCTCCAGACATAAGCAATCTACTCTGAGCCTCATCTACCTTCAGGATGCTTACCATCACTTTACCTTTTCTATTCTCACTGCCACCATCACTGAGGATAATACGGGAGCCGAGAGTTCTGCATTAAGTAAATAGCACCGTGGCTTGTACTCTGGACAGTAAAAGCTCTTGTCTTCTTCTACTTCATTCCACCTGCCAGAATGTTTCTTCTAAACCACGAATCTTATTTTATCACTTTTTCAAAACCTTTTAAGTGCTTCCAAGAGCTACAGTGAAGTCTAGCTCTCCAGACTGCCCACTGCTCCAGACAAAGCCTCCTCCAGATGAAGCCTCCTGGTGTAAGATTTGAAGCCAAGCAGAGCTTGATGTCTGGCAGTTACTTATAGTCTAAAATATACTAAATATGATTTTCTGTAGGAAAAGGAGATTTTCCTCATCGTGCTAGGTTTTATGTTTTATCTCTCTGATGATGACCTTATGAAAGTCCCTAATTCATCCTGTAGCTTTATACTTCTCTGACAAACCAGTGGTAACCATGCAGATTAATCAGAGATCTGCATTCCTTTTTTCTCTTAGAGAGTGCTAATAAAGAATGAAATCTCCTAAAGAAGGGCACTAAAGCAAACAAAAATGAAAGCACCCGAAGTATCTGCCCCATGTAGATGCCATGCCCTATGCAAATTGCAAAGGCGATGCATACTCTTAGACCGCTCTGAAGGGGTGGTTCTGAATGTCACTGGAACAAACGTGCTTGCAGCTGGGGCCTGGGCCTTGCTTGCCAGGAAAGATTTTCATTATCGTAGTGTTGACTGTGCTTTGATTTGATTTGTGCTGTGTGCAAACAGGAGTCTTAGGTTATGGGAATCACTTGATAAAGACTTTTTGGCTACTGGCTGATATGAGGCAAATGATATGAGGCAAATAATGTGGGCTCCTGCAGGAAGATGCTCTTTCTCAAAACCTTTCCGAATACATTTGAAACATATTCATATACATCATTTATCACATATTCAATACTACATTGTAGAAGGGAAAAATCAGGTGTTACAAGGCTTTTATTCCTCATCTACTGCCAACTATAGGGTTCAGTTGTATTTGTTAGTTTTTGTCTGCCCGGAATCTTTTTACGTGGGAACTTTCCTTTTACCCATTCTCATGGTGGGGCTGTCAAATCAATGATCCTATGATCAGTCGTCCTCATCAGAGGGGTAGTTCCATGACCCAAGTCAAGCAATTAGTATGTTCCCCTGGTAGGACTTTTGTTAGATCAATCGGGAAAGATCTGCTTATTTTAATCTGGGACCCTGTGTAGAAAGCCTGCCTGAGATTAAAGCCAATCAAACAGAAAAACCCAAAAGAGAGCAGGAAAAAGAACAATTGGTGGCATGATTTGACCCTCTGAATCGGACCTTGCCTGAAGCCTGTGACCTTTTTTTATTTTACTTAAGCTAGTTTGAGTTTTGATTTATCACTTGCAATCAAAAAGAAATATTAACTAATAAATATGGATTAAATATTGACTAGTAATATGGGGAAATAACATTTACTTTAAACCATTGAAAATTCATCTTCACTCTTTAAGCTCTGTTGTGATACGAAAAAGGCTCACTGTAGTGCAGGCATGAACCTACGCATTTAATGTATCAATTAGTCCTTAAAATATGAAGTAAATACTATCATTATCTCTATTGTTACCTGACGCACAGAGATTTGCTGAACTGCAAAGCTCTCATGCAACTCGTCATTTTCAGAGCTGGAATCCCTTCCACTCCTCACCATTATGCAGATTTGCTTTCCGAGATGCCATCAAAACACTGGACTCTTTCTGTGCTCAGTGGCAAGGCTTTTCCAATTCTTCCACACACGTGTTTCCCAGTTGCCTTCCTACAGTATTTACAAGCGCATAAGGGAATGACTGGGTGTGTTCACTCTAGGCTTCCTCAGATCCGGGTTGAAACTCTGACTTTATTAATGGCATTACCCGAACCTATGTCTCATTTACCTTTTCTAAAAAGAATAAAATGCCAAAGGCTCATATCTACCCCATGGGTTGCTGTGTGTGTTAAATGAGTCCATGCACACGAAGGATAGAGCAGACCGTGGCTGGCACTCAGCAAGGCTCAACAAAGGCCACCAGCAGGACCCAAATCATATGTCCTGCCAGCATGGTCCACCTCTCCAGGAGCGTCCACCACACCTGCCACACACTTCGGGAGCCATCAGTCATCATCTTGGACCAGTGTGAAGTCACTCCTTATGGATTTCTCCCAATCCATTTTTCTCATCTCAATTCTGCTATTGAAATAAACTTCAATCACGTGTCTTAGAGGCCTGCCCACCACACTTCCTCAGTGCCCATCCATGAAGCCTTGTCACTACTCAAGCAAGGAGTTCACCTCTGGAGAGCCAAGGGCTTCCTCCTCCCAGTGCTTGTTATCCAAGTTACGGACTCTGTTTTCCTTTTACCAAACAACTCAACTGTGCCATTAGATAAAGACTATCTGATTTAGAAACATGGCAGGAGAGGTTACAGAAGCCAAAATTCTTGCAGGGAATGGGATCTGACTAGGGTTTCCCAAATCTCATTTACTTGCTGACACCATTATAAGGTAGGTCAGATCCAACCTGATTCAGTCTCTTCTAGTGTAGATTATGGAAACTGGACCAGGCAATTTTTCTAAGTGCATGTAGGCTACAATGTACCCTAAGTCTTTTTTTTTAGTGCAGCACGCTAAAGGAAGAATTAAACTACAGGATAACTTACTCAGAATACATTGAGGCGACCTTGGCTGGATCTGTAACAGTCAGGTAGACACACAGGGAAGGACATCAGGTGCCCACCAGCGTGTGCCAGAGCCATGCTTCAGCCCTGCTGATGCCCACAGATCCCTCTCCCACTTCCTTCTGCAGGAGTTGTTCACGGGTCACAGAGTCTTTAGTCACCTGATTACCCTATTTAATGCACCTTTGCAAAAGCAACAAACAAGCGCTCCTGAGACCTTAGGATCCGGATGCTTTCATAGCTGCCACCTCCAGAGACTGTGTTGGGTTGTGCACACCTCACCTCTCCACCGATGACTTCCAGATTGATGACACCCTGCCTTTGGCTTTGCCTTGTCCTCAGTTACTGAGCCCACTGTACTTGTGGGCTGACACTCTGCAGAAACCATCCCATCATTACAGCGATTTCTACATTTTCCAATTTGTGTGAACTCCTCTGAGGCTTGAAGCATCTAACTTGCATTAAATCTGTGAGGAACTCTGGTTAAAAATAAAGGGCCTGTGTTTTCAATTATATGATTCATTGCATTACCTGAACCTATGTCTCATTTACCTTTTCTAAAAAAAAAAAAAAAAAAAAAAAAAGCAGTAAGGCTACTACTGGCCCCAAGGGTTGCTGTATTAAATAAGCTCATGCATGTGGAGCACAGAGCAGACCGTGCTTCTGAGGGTGTTATTTCTAGGTTGCAGTACATTAATTTTATTATATAAAATTATTATATGATATATAATTATATATTTAGATAAAAATTACATAATAGTCATTAAATGAGTGAACAAGTGAACTAATGGTCAGGAGAATAGATAAACAAATGGCTACACAAATAAATGAAGACAGAACCATCCCAGGAGCAGCCCATACCCTGTACCCATTACTGCACTGATGACTTACATAGATATTATCTCAATCACACATGACAACAACCTTCTGAGGCAGGAAACTTTAATTTTGCTTCAATTTTAAAATCAGAGAGCTGAGCTTCAGTTCATTTACTTTACTTATATTACCTAGAAAGAAAGTACACTTTGCCCACAAAATTTACCTGACTCAAAACGTTTTATTTTTACCACTATTTTGGTGCTTTTTCCTAATATTGAACTAAGCTACAGCTGCTTTCCCATCCAAATAAAGAGCGAATAGTGTGCCCCCAAAGGCACTGGGAGAATAAATCAAAGCAGCCAGTGGCAGGATAATTTCCCTTAAAACCTCATATTTTACTTAAAAATTTATGTAAATTTTGCCTTGTACCTCAAAATAGGAATGAATTTTATTATGATCAAGATAATGTGGTTTTGCTGTTTGCATTAGTCTGTTCTCACATTGCTAACAAAGACATACCCAAGACTGGGTAATTTATAAAGGAAAGAGGTTTAATTGACTCACAGTTCCACATGGCTGGGGAGACCGCACAATCATGTTGGAAGATGAAGGAAGAACGAAGAGATGTTTTACATGGTGGCAGGCAAGAGAGCTTGTGCAAGGGAACTCCTCTTTATAAAACCATCGGAACTTGTGAGACTTACTCACTACCACGAGAAAAGTATGAGGGAAACCACCGCCTTGATTCAATTATCTCCACCTGGTCCTGCCCTTGACACATGGGGATTTATTAAAATTCAAGGTGAGACTTGGGTGGGGATACAGCCAAACCATATCACTGTTGCTTTTGCTATTTTTTTCTCCCAGATTGTCTACTAAAAAATCATTGCCCCTTAAAGAGAAGCCACATTTGCAGCGTGGCTCTACATATTCCCATCACGCCAACAAGGTACAGTTCAGATGGAGAAGCATCTGATGCACTTGACAGGTGCATTTTGATGGGAGATCAAGGAATATGGTGGCATTTCCCAGGGATAATTGAGCCCTATGGGGTGCCACACTCGAGGGCTCTGTACACTCAAGACAGAGATCAAGAGCCCTGAGATTCTAAAAAAGAGGAAACAGCACAGAAGTGGAGGGTAAAGTGGGTTAGTGTGACGTGCAGAGCAAAAATATTTTTTCTCTCCTTTATTTATTTTTATCTTATTATTAAAATGTTTTTTATTTAATGTATTAGTTTTGCTGCTGTTAAGGGGTAATTGTGAAGTGGTTGGCAGGGACCTCCTCCCTATGTCTGCTGGGTTCTTCCACGTGGAGGGGCTTTGTTATTATAACATTTCCACCTTGCTCCTTCCCCAGGGGAGGAAAGCTCTTACTGATGAGGTGAAGAGAGGGACTGGGCATTTGTAAACATGGCTCTTCCTCTCCCTTTGTTTTCCAGAGCCAGCTGTGCCCAGAAGCATGAGTTCTGGTCTGTTCCGCCTTGTTCTAAGTTTTACAGTGGCCTGCGTGGGGCTACCTATGATGGTCCAGCCTTCCTGTGACCAGTAGGTCCAGCTGAGGTTGGGGTTCAGTTTGACAAAGCTCACTTGCCCCCAGGTATATGCTGCATTCCTCAAAATCAGCATTATTGAAAATTAAAATAGCATTTTCGTTTCCCATCTGCCTTACTTTTCACTTAGTTCAAAACTCAGGTGAGGAGATTATTGCCTATTGGGCCTCTCTCAAACTCCATATTTATTATGCAGTGCCAGAGACCTTGAGAAAGAAAGACTGGAATCTGTGGACCAAAATGTAGGTGAGTTTGAGGCACATAGCTTTGGATCTTGAACTTCAGTGTGCAATGTTCAAGTGGATGTCTAGACTTTGCGATTTCAGACTTATATTGGGCCATGAGGTTGGATGAAACCTGAGTTTGCAATAGGCCTTTGACTCTTGATACTTGGTGGGTAGGTGTAAGTTGAGTTGTGTATTAGTCAGGACTCTAGGCTTGGCAGCTCACTGCAGCTAGATGATGGCCATGTCCACAGGCAAATTGCCGTCTTAATAGAGTCAGGGCTGTGGATGTTAGGCCTGAAGTAAGTAGCTTGCAGGCCTTACTTGCTTGAAGCAAATTTGAACTCTTCAGCAGAGGCACAGGCCTCAGGGACCAGATCAGATGCTCGCTAGGAAGGAATAGGGCTATAACTTGACTTATAAAGATATATAGTCCTTTTCTTAAGCTTTTCTTAAGGTGGTATAGCTGAGACAACGATCTGTTATAGACCAAAAAAAAAAGTGTACCTTTCTACATATGGGCCTTTCAGGCCTTAGTGAATAGAAAAGTATATGCCATTTTTTAGAAGGCAAGGCCAGCTAGTTTTTCATGCCCTATGATGCATTCATTAGTGAGAATCAAGCTCCAACTTCTAGCTCTGGGCCTAGGAAGCTGTATCAGTTGCCCCAAATTCCATTCTGTTTCTAGAGCCAAGGAGGGAATTATGGCAGAATCAATCTTTCTGCCATGTGGCTTCACAGATTGGGGAGTTGGGAAATACTTCAAATCAAAGAAATATACAAGGAAAAAAAGGTACTTATTCCAGAAGACAGCACCTGTGTTAGAGAAGGGAGAAGGCCATCCACCTTAGCAGGCAGGTTAAACCTTTATCATTTTGTCTGAATCTTTCTGAGGGAAGCATGGAAAGAGCAGAAGAAAATCAAACCAGAAAGGCATGTCTGTCTTCTGCACATGTGTGTGACATACTGAACAGAAGCTGGGTCTCAGGGCACACGTGCTGCCCAGCTTGAAGCTTCAGAAGCATCAAGAGCAATTTGAGTTCAGGGATCAGGAGGCAGCCTTTCCCCAGCTGAAACACATTGCAGGGTGAGACGAGCCTTCCCTCAGAGGTGGTTTCGTACAACATAGTGAGAGAAGCCTAGGATGAAAGTGCCCACTGATACAGGTGGAATTTTATTCTCCCTCCTGAATGTGTATGTTGAAGTGCTAATGCCAAGTACCTCAGAATGTGACCTTATTTGAATATAAGGTCCTTATGGTGGTAATTAAGGTAAAATTAGATCATTGCGGGGGGTGTCTCTAATCCACCATGATGGCATCCTAATAAAAAGGGAGGAATTTTGAGACAGACAGACACACACACACACACACACACACACACACACACACACACACACGCACACAGGGAGATGGCCATGAACGTGAAAATGGCCACCTATAAGCCAAGGAAGAGCCTGGAACAGATCCTTCCCTCACAGACCTAAGAAGGAACCAGCGCTGCCAACCAGGACTGCCAAGTCCTTTGATATAGGACTTCTAGCCCTCAGAACTTTGAGACAATGCATTTTTGTTGAGTAAGCACCCAGTTTGTAGTGCTTTGTTACAGTGGCCCTGGCAGACAAATACACCCCCTCACAAGGGTATACAGACGTTAGGCCCTGGATAGAGCCCATACTCCATCTGGTCCTTGGGAGCCAGGGGCATGAGGCTTACCAGAGAAATAAGAATTAAGAGGTTTTGGATTAAATCAATAAAGAAAATAAATGCAAATTAAATCTTGTGATTGGAGCTTATACCATTGCAAATTTCTGGTCTTTGCAAGAAGGTAGCAGTTTTTAATATTGCCCTTTGAATGGGTTTGTAGACAGATTTCCTCCTGGGTAAGGTAAGTGCACAGTACTTAGGTTACTTACATATCTCCGAGTACTTAAGTATCTAATTAGTAAGTACTTAGTGTCTCAGAGTACTTAGGTATGTCTGCTGAGAAGCTTCTCTTAATTTATTTTAAGTTCACAGATCATGTACTCTGGCTGGTCACTAAGACTGAAAACCACTATGGAGAAGCTAAAACCCAAGATGTTCTCTTTCTACCATTGTTTTGAACTTCAATTATTATTCTCATTAATAACTTTACTGCAAGGTGACTTAAGGTTTTCATAAAAATTAATAATGAAAGAGGATTTATATTCAAGTTTGGGGCATCTAATATTGACATTTTAATATCGAAAAATACTTATGAGCTCTTCAACAATCTCTAATCTCTAGGCTTACTTGTAGGTGGCTGGACATAATTTGGGATCAGAAATATAATAGGATGTGAAATTTTAGCCTTGAGCAACAAATGACCATGGGTTTTGATTTGAACAATACACTGTTCTAAAACCCAATACCCATCCTAAAACTTTCTGGGGGAAATCTGGACCACTCCCAGAGGTCCAATTAGGGTAACCAACATCAGGTATTGGTACTGGGAAGTGGACTCCTGGAACAGCCTCGCTCTTTAGACCACACAGCACTAGGAGTAAGCCAGCCTGTCTAGATTTTTCAGAAAGCACCATTTAAAAAGCCAGGAGCAAATTCCATTAGAAGAGACTGTCTTAAAGTGACTCTATTACTGGAAGACAATTAGATTAGAAATGCTTCTCTAATCTTCTCCATGAAACAGTGGTAACACTCTTCCCAGGAAGCCAAATTGACTCTGTCACCCTTCTCCTTGTGCAGCAGCTGTTTAAATTCACAGCCAGTTTTTAAAGAAGAGTTATAAGACACTCAGAATTGCCTGTGATCGATAGAAGGGGAGATGAGCCACATCTCTGGAATTGCTGTGCCTGAATTGAAGCACACCTCAAGAAATGTACAAAACCTCATTTCATGCAAAGTCAACTGTCCTTACTATCCTCCAAACCAATTTTCTTCTGTTTTCAAGTGTTCGGCTCAAACAGACATGCTGAAGTCTGCTGGAGCTCTGCCTGCTGATTACGAAAAGTCCTCTGTTTGCACCAGCCTGCATAGGAGAGAGTGACAATCCACCTGAAGTCAATTGACAAATGACATAGAGCTATCCCTGTTTCTAAATTTGACCAATACCACTCAGCAGAGCCATCAAAAGAGGCATATGAAATGCTCATGTAAAGCTGGTCTGCCCCTGTGGTGGCTCTCCCCCGACAGAGATGGCCAACGTTGAATAGATATGCATTACATCAATGTCACTTTCCAGTGCAGGACTGCAACAGAACCTGTGTCTCAGAAACATGCAAAGTGTGGATGTTTTTATGTCTGAAGTTGATAGGGTTGAGCATAAATATAAGGGAAGGTGAAAGAATATAAAGAGAATGCCATCAGCTTCCAGTGTGGCCAGTTCAAACCCTTGCCTCAGCATAGTAAAAGCAAACATGTACAGGAGTAAAATCAGCAATAAATTACAATTCAAAAACGAGCCCATGAAAATCTGTGTGAGTCCTTCAATTATAACGGTATAACAGAAAATAAATGGGGCAAGCATATACAAATTTGCAAGAAACCATGATTGTCATGACAAGTCAATTCTGCAGCTGGGGCTCCAGCATCAGTCTAACCACCCAAAACGAAGTGCAATAATGATTTCACTAGCTCTGAATCCTGGTCTGAATTATCTTCCAATCATTGTGATCATCTCACCGAAAGAAAGGTAATAGAATAATGAAATGCCTAAGAAATGTTCTTTTTCAACTT
This sequence comes from Homo sapiens, assembly GCF_000001405.40. Classification (NCBI taxonomy): domain Eukaryota; kingdom Metazoa; phylum Chordata; class Mammalia; order Primates; family Hominidae; genus Homo; species Homo sapiens. The sequence continues at coordinate 228,965,621 of NC_000002.12, forward strand.
TAAGGAGAAAGATTGTGAAGCAACCATTCTGGGCATCTTATTTATAAACAGAGATGTTTGGGGTTTTTTAGTCCAAAAAAGGTAAATTTAGAAAATAAAAAAGTGAATGACAGAAAAAAATTATCCATTTGCAATACTCTATGATTAACATTTGTGTGAACTTCCATTTTCTCATATGCATGGAAAATCTAGTGCATATGCTGGTAGTAATGTAATATACAATATCATTTGTATTTTTGTTTTTTTACCTAACAGTATATTATTAGCATTTTTAATTTTTCCATGTTGTCTTCCTAGCCATCATTTTTAATGGTTGCATAGCACTCCTCTATAAATATGTCTAATTCCCCTCCTATACTGGATAGTTTCTTCTTCTTTCTTCATCATTTTTCCATTGACACTTACAGAGCTGATAAATTTAATAAAAACAGGCATGCATATACACCAGTTAGTAAATGAGATTTACTATCCTAAGCACTTCACATATACTAACTCATGTAATACAGTGGGCGGTGGGGGGACTGTGAAGTGGAGGGTTTTTATTTCCATTTTACAATGAAGAAACTGAGGCACAGAGAATACACCCAGCTTCTGTAGCAAACCAGAGTTTCTGACCCAGACGATCTGGCCCTTGAGTCTATGTTTTCAATTATGACTCTTTACTACCTCTGGACATGAAGTCTTTATCCCCTCACTTAGGATTGTTTTTCTTAAGATACACTTTCTTTTCTGAGAAGGAAAATAAGTGAACCAGGAAGTAAGAGCACTTCAAAGATTCCCAAAATGTAATTGCTGAATTGCTTCCCAAACCCGTTACAAATATTGTACCTGTCATTTTCTCCTAAGTCGATACATTGTGAAGTCATCATATTCTGTTTCTAAAGCTTCAAGACTGTTTTATCTTCAGCAGATTTTTTAGTCAATAAAACACGATTCCTCATATTTCCTGTTAGATATTTCCCTCATAATTAACCCTTTTTGTCAATTTTCATGCTATTAGCTTCAATTGGTTTTTTGGTTGTGTTTGTATTTGCCTATTACATGGTTGTCCATCCCTTCACTTTAATTCTCCAGTATCTTTTTGTTTTCAGTGTATTTCTTATAGGAAGGTAATTGCTGACTTGATTTTCATAGTCTGACAAATTCATAGTCTTTCCATTAATACACTACTGGTATCCTTCAGACTATTGAGTATATATTTATAATAAAAAGGCATTGAAAAATTGAATAATTTTCTACTACTCTCATCATTTGGATACCTGAGTTTTACTTGCTTCTTAACATTAATTTGTAACTTTTTAAATGTTCTGGATCATTTTAAGTAGCATGAGAATGATCAACTGACTGAATATCTAAATGCAAAATTAAACTTTCCAGATCCAGAATAATTTGGGGAAAGGGAAGAAGACTTTTTTATAATGATTTTCAGTTTCCTTCATAGTTACAGGTCAATTCAGATTTTAAAAATTTCTTCTGAAGCAATTTTACAATAGCATAATTTTAAATACTGTTCTTTCATAATTAAAAATAACTCTATCTGTGGTTGTATCTTTTTTCACATTTCTAATGCCGTGGTTTATGGTTACTCATTCTTCCTCTCTGAAGTTAGCCTACTTTCTTGGGCCTTCCAGAGCACTGGGACCTTATTTTTTTATTATTTATTTATTTATTTTGAGATGGAGTCTTGCTCTGTCGCCCAAGCTGGAGTGCAGTGGTGTGATCTCAGCTCACTGCAACCTCCTCCTCCCAAGTCCAAGAGATTCTCCTGCCTTAGCCTCCTGAGTAGCTGGGATTACAGGCATGTGCCACCACGCCCAGCTGATTTTTGTATTTTTAGCAGAGACAGGGTTTTGCTGTATTGGCCAGGGTGGTCTCGAACTCCTGACCTCAAGTGATCCGCCCACCTTAGCCTCCCAAAGTGCTGGGATTACAGACATGAGCCACTGCACCTGGCCAGCACTGGGACTTTAAATTAGTTCATATAGTTCAATATTTATTTTATTTTATTTATTTACATACTTAATTTCTGTCTTGATCTTTGTAAACAATTTTTTCCTTTTATGAATGTGCTGTTTCTGCTTTTCTTAGCCTCTTGAACTTAAAATTTTATTTCCCTTTAATTCTTCTTTATTTTATCTGGTTAAATAATAAAAGCTTCCATCACTGATGTGGGTTGACTGTCCCCACTCAAATCTCATCCCAAATTGTAAACCAAATTGTAATCCCCACGTGTCAGGGGAAGGACCTGGTGGGAGGTGATTGGATCATGGGGGTGGTTTCCCCCATGCTGTTCTCATGAAAGTGAGTGAGTTCTCACAAGATCTGATGGTTTTATAAGGGGTGGTTTCCCCTCCTCGCTCTCTCTCCTGCTGCCTTGTGAAGAAGGTGCCTGCTTCCCCTTCTGCCATGATTATAAGTTTCCTGAGGTCTCCCCAGCCATGCAGAACTGTGAGTCAATTAAGCCTCCTTTATTTATAAATTACCCAATCTCCCATAGTGTCTTTACAGCAGTGTGAAAATGGACTAATACAGTCACACTTCACAAATATTGATAAGTATTAAGATTATAATCTTTATTTTTAAAACGGTGTAATGTAGCATAAAATACATTCACAAATTTTGTGACACTCTCTTCAAAAGGGGCCACCTAATTTACTTCCTAAGTGTGGGCTGTTCTCAGCAACCCACCATGAATAGAATAAGATGAAAGTGACCATGTATACTTAGATTAGGTCATAAAAAATATAGACGCTTCCTCCTCTCTCTATGGATCACTTGTTCTAGGGAAAACCAGCTGCCGTGTTTCATACAGCCTTATGGAGAAGTACTAGACTAGGCCCTATGGCTATATTCTGAGGTGTCCTGCCAACAGCAGTCTGTTGCATGAGCTATCTGTTGATCCCAAGTGCACCATCTTGGAAGTGGAAGTTCCAGTTCCAGTTCCAGTCAAGCCTTCAGATGAGCATGGCCTTAGCTGACATCTTGACTGCAACTTCAGGAGAAACCCTGAAGTAGAACCACCCATCTAAGCTGCTCCTAAATTCTGCCCCACAGAAACTGAGAGATAATAAATGTTTGTTGTTTTAGTCTTGAAATTTTAGGGCAATTTGTTATACAGTAGGAAATAATACATCAAATATCACAGTTTTTTATTTTTTTCTTTGACCCTGAATTTGAGTTGCTTTCACTCTACATCATTGTATTTATTTTTGTCGTGGTTCTGGTTGTAACCTTTCTAAGGCCTTTGCAATTAGAAAGTGGAGTTTATACAATTTCAGCTATTTAGGACTTATTAAGATTTTATTTGTAGCTTAATATATCACTAAATTTTGTAAATATAGCGTAGATGTTGAAAAGAAGTGATGTGACTCTATATCTATGGCACGAATCTGATAAATCAATCTGATAAAGTGTATTAGTCAAATCTTATATAATCTCATTTATGTTTTATTTACTTCATCTTTAATAACTGAGGATGATATGGTAAAATCTTTCATCCCTATGGTATTTCTGTTCATTTTATCTTAATTTTGAACAAATTTTTATGTATGCATTTTAGTGAGAGTTTTTTTGTTAAATAGTTTCTTAGTCATTATATATTTATCATAAATTTAATCGTTTAGTTTTATCAGAGCCTTTTTAAAAACTAGTTTAACGAAATCTTCCTGTAGATCTTTATTATATTTATTGCATTCCTAATATTAATACTGTAGTGCTCTACTTTCTTTTTAGATTTTGCTGATATAGCTTTCTTCATTTTTAACATTTAACCTTTCAATCTCTGTTATGAGTTGATCTTTTGTACCCAGAACTTAATTGCTATTCTTTGATCTGAAAGACTTTGACTTTTAATTGGGGAATTTAATTAATTTACTTTTTAAATTATAATCATTTGGTTCTGAGCTTTTCTTTTCTTCTTTAATTTTTCACTGATATCTTTTGCCCTTGTCTTTTAATGTGTAAAATCTGTTGTTGGTGGTGGTGATGGTTGGTTTGCTTAAATTAAGCAGTATTTTTGAAGGTGATTATGCCAGTGATAATTTTAACAGTTCCCTGTAAGTTTTTCAGGAGTACTCCTCAACTTATATGTATGTAAATACCAAAGACTAAAATGAAATGTTCATTTTGGTCTCTTACATGAGATGAACTTTATATGAGAGTGTACTTTTACTCTCCTTCATCTGTTAATCTATTTGAAGTTTTGGATCAAGAATATCATATTTGTTTCATGACATGGAATCATACTGTGCCCCAAGATGAGGTTTTTCAGAGATTTTCTTAACTCACACTCTTCCTTCAAATGAGTATCACTTCTTTTTAGATTCTAACTTTCAGTATTAGATGCTTAAAAGTTGCTATTTTATTTTTCACATATCATCAGGGATTCTGAGGAAAATTTGCACTGGAGACTGCTAGTGAGAGTTCATTTTAGACTAGATATCTACGCTAGAACTTAAAATATAATAAAAAAAAAACTTTAAAAAAAGACTATCCCAACCTCCTCTGCTTTCTTCAAATGTCCGTCCTCTGCTCTCACATCCCCATTCACTCTTAGCAGATAAAGTCATCTCCTACTTCACACAGAAAGGAGAAGTAAACAGACAGGAATGTCCACTCTTTCTTGTAACCATATTGATCCTTTTGTTTTCTCATGCTTCTTTTTCATTCTATCCTTGCAATAAAGTGATGTTTTGTTTGCATTTATCTTCTGCAAAAATAAAATTAAAAGTAACTCCAACTGGTAGGTCCCATTAAAATTTCTCAAAGTAACTAACATTATATCACATGTATCTAATATATATTACAAAACTGAGTTAACATCCATTATCAAATAAAAACATTAAGTGTTTTAAAATATACTATATACATAATATCATAGATAGATAATAAAACAATAAATTTTGATATCCATTCCCAAATAAAATAACTTTAACGATTTTGGTACTTCTGACTTGGGTTTATATAATCCCATAATTTTAAAAATTAAAAATAAATAATTATTCTCAAATGTAAACATTGCTTAGATATTAGATAAGTTTAAGAAATTACTCTAATTTCGTGGTGTGATTTTTCCACTGTGGTTATGTTTGCCTTAAAAGTCCTTATCTTTTTAGATATGCCTATTGAAATAATTATTAATGAAAGTATATGGTCTTCAATTTGCTTTTAAGTAATCCAGTGATTGGTGGAGTAGGAGGCTGTTAGAGAGACAGGGTTGGGATATAGAGGAAACAAACTTGGTCCTGGATTAGCAACTGTTGAAGCTGAGTGGTGTGTATATGGGAGTTCATTATGCTTTTTTCTTTTTGTATGTTTTTGAAATGATCACTTTAACAAAATTTTAATTGCTACAATTGTATAAAGACATATGAAGCTGATTTTAACAATCACTGCCAGTCTCTGTTACAACTTCCTTTCCATTTTTCTAATGATGTGGGAATAAGTATATCTTTTGGGATAGCCTTTTTCAGGAATTACTATGGGTAGTATGTTTTCAGGGAAGAAGAATAAGATATATTTATGAAAGCTAAATATGAGAATATATCTATTGTCTTCATTTGGCCTGGATATTCTTGAACCCAAAGAAATTTTATGCTGGCATCTGCCTAACTACAAGTACCTGCCACTAAAATACATTTGGCTTACTAAAGTATGTGTGACTTGATATAATTTTTTGATTTACAAGTAATAGAAACTACTTCAGCTCTGATGATTTCTTTGAACAGTGGTAAACACTATGAGTTTCTAAATCAAGTCTTATGAATCACAAAAGCATAAACACTGTGATTTAGAGTAAGCAGGGGAGTTATAGGAGAACACTTATTCCTGTTTGTATCCCTTGCTTACTGAACTAAAGCCGGTTGACATTTTTTCCTGTGGTATTACTAAGACTTTCTTCTGCTACCCACAAATCCTAATGCTTTGGTTGAGTTGACCGACACTAAGAGGGGAACAGTATTGTGAAATGAATAAATTATACTTCTTTATCGCCTCATTCTATAAAATCTTAGAAATTGTAGGATTTTTATTTTTTACCACTGTCCTATGTTAGTTTCAGTTTTTCTATGAAAAGTTGCAAAAATTATGTGTCTGTGTATTGTTGGTGTTTTCAATATAAATCTAACAAGAAAGCTTGTGTTGAGTCCTACTGCACACATACATCTATTAATCCATTCTTTTATTCAAACAAGTTTATTGAGTGCTTAGCACACTCAAGACAATGTGTTCAGCTTACAAATATTCTCCATCTGTGACTTCATGTAATTTCCATCTCAGAGCTAGTGGCTTTTTGGAGGGAAAATAAGAGGATAAACACTTAGCCTGACAGGTCATGATGGAATTAGTGTCTACTTCTCATAGGGTAAGAGAAGGAAACCCAAGTTTCTCCATCTCCCTGGCTCCAGGCTTAGGTATGGCAAATGACTTAGACTATTCATTTTTAATGTGGTGCCCATGGATTCTAGGAGGGGTCTATGTAGCCATTTTGTGTTTTGCACATTCTATCTATTCATAGAGACTTCCTCGGAGTCTCAGAATAGCTCATAATATTAAAAGGGTTAAAAGCCACTACCTTGCTAGACTATGCTAATAAGACATGAATAAATATGATTCATAAATGATGATGTATTGATTTTTCTCATCCACACTATGGGGGAATTCTGGAAGACTGCTGGTGTGTTATAGGAGCAGACTACAAGGAGATCCATTTAGAATGATAAGTGGCTTGCAAGACAAAGACTTCCTCATCAGTCCTTTCTTGGCATGGCACATTTTCTCCTGCAGTTTAGAATCAATTATTAGAATTATTGATACCCGTAGAAAATGAAAGAGATTTTGCTCATTCTAAAAAGCTGAATAATTCTTTTTTTGAGGTGACGATAGTCTGGTTTTAGTGCAATGGTCCCAGAGAATAATGGATGAGGTTTATTTCTCTTTTAAAGTTTAATACAGAACATCTATTTGATAGTTACTGAACTTAGTTTCTTCAGAGATGACTTGACATTACATAAAGCATTATTTTATTTTATTTATTTCCATAGGTTTGTGGGGAACAGGTGGTGTTTGGTTACATGAGTAAGTTCTTTAGTGGTGATTTGTGAGCTTATGGTGCACACATCATCCGGAGCAGTAAACATTGTACCCAATTTGCAATCTTTTATCCTTCACCCACCTCCCACCCTTTCCCCCAAGTGCCTAAAGTCCATTGTACATTGTATCATCACTCTTAGGTCTTTGCATCCTCATAGCTTAGCTCTCACTCATTCTTAATGACACAGTAGTGGTTAAACAGAAAAAAAAAAAAAGACAAAGACTTTACAAATTGAAATGCAATGCCCTTGTTTCAAAATAGTCTAATGTCCATAAATGTCTTCTTAAAATAAACACTAAATACATGTTTGACACTTTAAACTTTGTATAACTTCAATACCACAAAATATGCAAATTATATTACGCAGACGTGGAAAAAGTGGGTTGTATATAAGCAACACTTTTCACTACTAACAATTTGATAATATGAAATGCACATATTGGCTTAGAAATCTAGTTTTGAGCTCAAAGAGTAACTTTGAAATATTACTCTATTGTTACAATAGAAATAAAATAAAAATTACAGAATATCATTTAAAATGTTTTAAAATATCAGCTCCCTAGCACTGGGTTATAACCCAAAGCATAAAATAAATATCCATGAGTTCTTACTAATATAAATAAGTTGTTGCATAAACAAATAAATAAATGAGGGAGAAGAGACAAATCTCCCATGGAAAATAATTTCATAAAATTATGTAGATGCTCCGCCCTCAAGGAAGAGGAGTAACTCCCCACTCTGTATGGTGACTTTCTTCTGGAGAGCACAGAATGGAAAGAGAGAAGTTAAAAGGGTAACTTTACAGTGGAGAAACCTGGCAGACACTCATTCAGCAGGTGATCAAGGTCAACATCAAGAGTGAAAAGTCACATCGATAGAATGTACCCTTGCTGTGGCGTGATGAAATGGCACTTTACTTGTGTGCTCTCCCTACCAAAACCTCATGGCTCCAGTCTAATCATGAGAAAAATATCAGACAAACCACAGTAGAGATTTTACAAAACACATGATCAACACTCCTCAGACTCAGTTATCAAAATCAAGAAAAGTCTGAGTAACTGTCACGACCAAGAGAAATCTAAGGAGACATGATGACTAAATGTAATATGGTATCCTGGATGATATCCCAGAACAAAAAAAAAAGAGAAGAACATTAGGCAAAAACTAAGGAAATTTGAATAAAGCATGGACTTCAGTTAATAACAGTATGCCAGTATGGATTCATTAATTGTGACAAATGTACCATACTAAATTAATATGTTAATAATAAGAGAAACTGGATATAGAGGAACTATAAATAGTCCTGGAATACAACTGGAAATATAGGAGAGCTCTCTGTACCATATTTGTAATTTTTCTGTAAATCTAAAGCTATTCCACAAAATAAAGTTTATTTTAAAAAAGTCATCTGCTTAAAAATACTTTGTATATAAGAAATGTCAAACAAAAATTTGATCACGTACAAAATGGGAACATTCTATCAGTCTTCAGCAATACTTTTCAGCAAAATCTTTAAAGAATTTTAATGACTATGTAAGCACTTCATCTTTCATATGCATGATTTTCTAAAGTCTTTCAAATAAGAGTCTAGATAGCAATTTCATAACTGTGCCTACCTACCCCATACTGGATTTCAGGTACTGCTGCCAACCCAGCCAACTCTGTGGGTGAGCTCCCAACCTTTATCTCCCAACCTCAGTACTGTTGAAAGCTTGTGCCAATGATTTGTCAGTTGAGTGCATAAAGTCATGAAACAGGGATCCTTCCTGAAAAGCAACAAAAACTCAACAGTATAAATAATCATGGCATTGATTTGAATTACATTTTCAGATAGGTTTACCTAGAAGGAACTGAGCAAGTAAAGAATTCCAGAGACAGGAGAATTGATTGCTTGATTCTAAGAGTCCAAGGCTGTAGTGTGCCATATTAGTGCTTGTGAATAGCCACTGCACTCCAGCCTGAGCAACGGAGTAAGACCCATCTCAAAAACAAACAAACAAACAAATGAACAAAAACAGTAGAAAGAAAGTACATGTGGACTCAGTAAGAAATCTGAACTGAATATCTTTACTAGAATTTCTGGATGGGAGCTTTCCTACACTCTTGTCGAAGGCTTTGTTTGTTAATTTTAAGAATGTCATTTTATGCTTAGCTGGGTAGTAGTAGAAAGAGAGGCCAGGTGCGGTGGCTCACGCCTGTAATCCTAGCACTTTGGGAGGCCGAGGCAGCGGATTGCCTGAGCTCAGGAGTTGGAGACAAGCCTGGGCAACACGGTGAAACCCTGTCTCTACTAAAATACAAAAAAATTAGCTGGGCGGGGTGGCAGGTACTGTTAGTCCCAGCTACTCAGGAGGCTGAAGCAGGAGAATTGCTTGAATCCAGGAGGTGGAGATTGCAGTGAGCCAAGATCACGCCACAGCACTCCAGCCTGGGTGACAGAGAGAAACTCCATCTCCAAAAAAAAAAAAAAAAGAGAGGGCAATGAACTTATGTGTACATATGTCTTTTTGGTACAATGATTTATTTTCCTTTGGGTATACAACCAGTAACAAGATTGTCAGGTCAAATGGTAACTCTCTTTTAAGTTCTTTGAGAAACTGCTTCTCAAAGTGGCTGGACTAATTTACATTCCCACCAACAGTGTACAAATGCTCCCTTTTCTCCACAGCCTTGGAAGAATCTATTGATTTTTGACTTTTTAATAATAGCCATTCTGACTGATGTGAGATGGTATCTCACTGGAGATAAAGAAAATGTGGTACATACACACAATGGTATGCTATACAGTCATGTCCTTTGCAACAACATGAATGCATCTGGAGGCCATAATCCTAAGCAAATTAGCACAGGAAAAGAAAACCAAATACCACAGGTTCTCACACATAAGGGAGAGCTAAACATTGAGCACACATGGACACACGCATCGGAACAGTAGACACTGTGGACTACTGGAGGTGGGAGGGAGAGGAGTTGTGGGTTGAAAAACAACCTAGTATGTACTATGCTCATGACCTGTTGGGATCCGTATCCCAGACCTTAGCATCATGCAATATACTCATGTAACAAACCTGCACATGCACTCCATGTATCTAAAATAAAACTTGAAATTTAAAAAGATAGTTAAAAAGACACAGAGGGCCATCATACTGTCATTCCTAAAAGACAACTTCATAATGTGACAATTCTCTGGTATTTTAGGATGCTTACAGATTTACATGACTTAATTTAAACCAAACTCTGATGCTTTCACAATCTATCACCAAATTGCATAGAAAAGAATGCTTCTTGATGGGCACGATGGCTCACACCTGTAATCCCAGGACTTTGGGAGGCTGAGGCGGGTGGATCACAAGGGCAGGAGTTCGAGACCAGCCTGACCAACATGGTGAAACCCTGTCTCTACTAAAAATACAAAAATTAGCCAGGCGTGGTGGTGAACACCTGTAATTCCAACTACTCAGGAGGCTGAGGCAGGAGAATCACTTGAACCCGGGAGGCAGAGATTGCAGTGAGCCGAGATCGCACCACTGCAGTCTAGCCTGGGTGACAGAGCAAGACTCTGTCTCACAGAAAAAAAAAAAAAGAAAAAAAAAAAAACAAAAAAAAACTTTTTATTTTAAATATTTTCCATTCCTTTTTTCAGAGATAGCAAATTCTTTTTAATGAAACAAAGGAGTCATTCTCATTAGAGTTTGGCAAGACCTGCATGGACTACCAACCGTTAGTAACTTCCTGTCCCTGGGTAGCTTGACTTCCCGGTCTAGAGGTCTGATGTGAGATTTTCCATTGGTGAATTTTGTGAAGATATTCTCATAAACTTGACCAGTTTGGCCTCTTCTCAACATACAACACAAGTCACTCCACAAATAGTTATCTCGTTGTTACTTATTTTACTAAAGCAAGCTTAGATGTCCAATATTATTTCTTATTGAGGGAAGAATCTACCTCTTGGATGTACTGAATAATTAAGCTGAAATAATATTACTTGAGGTAATTTGTTTTTTTCTCTATGTTTGACAGAATTTTAAATTTACATAAGAGTTGCAATAAAGTACAAAAGCCCTCCGATGCCCTTCATTCAGTAATTTTCTTCTTCTCTTTTCTTTCCTTTATTTATTACCCTTCTCCCTTCTCCTTCTCTCCTTCTTCTTCATGTTCTTCTCACTGTTATTTTTTTAATAATGCATACATTAATGTCTCTTTATCCCTATACTATAGCGTATATTTTCTCTCTCCATTGTTTTTGTTTGTTTGTTTTTGTTTTGAGACAGGGTTTCACTCTGTCACCCATGCTGGAGTGCCCTGATGCAATCACGGCTCACTGTGACCTCAACCTCCTGGGCTTAATCAATCCTCCTGCCTCAGACTTCCAGGTAGTTGGGACTATAGGCATATTTGACTGTACCTGGCTAATTTTCATATTTTTTGCAGAGACAGGGTTTTGTCATATTACCAAGACTGGTGTTGAACTCCTGAGTTCAAGGGATCCACCTGCCTCGGCCTCCCAAAGTGCTGGGATTACAGGCATGAGCCACCAGGCCTGACCAAATATAGAATTTTTTTACCTATCTGTAGGAAAATTAGCAAAATCAGGATACTAACATGGATAATGTATTATCTAATTCCACAGAACTCATTCATATGTTGCCAATTCTACAATAACATGTCCTTCGTTGCAAAAAAAAAAAAAATCCAAGATAATTCACTGTATTTATTTTCAGTCATCCTGTCTCTAATCATTTTTAATGTGGAGTGTTTCATGATTTTTTATTTGTTTTTTATGACATTGATAACTTTGAGAAGTACAGATCAGTTATCTCATGTACTGTCCCTCAATTTATGTTTGTTTGATGGTTCCTTATGGTTAGATTCAAGTTATGCATTGTAGTCAGAAATACAATAGAAATTAGATTGACATCTTAGTGTGTAATACCAGGATGCACACGCTGTTGATTATTCCATTGCTGGCAATGTTAATTTTCACCATTAGGTTAAGATGGTATGCACTGGTTTGTTTAAGCTTGGTTTCCACAGTAAGGAAGAGTTGTCTTTTCTCTGTAAATTATTTATTGTTTGTTTTTCTATTTCTAAAATTTCCCTTAGTATTTAGGAAGCTTTGTGTTTTGTGCAGGTGATAACCTTTGTATTTATCTTTCTGATGTTGTTATTTTATGTTTCCTTTTTTAACCTTTAATATCTTGTCAGTTTTTAATGGTATCCTTAATTTTCACCTATTGCCTATATAACAATCAATGACTTCACTCCAATTTCCTTTTGCCCTGAGACTTTTCCTCCCAAATTTTAGTTGCCCTAATTCTATCAGAACATACAATATGTAACTTATAGCATGTGTTGTATAACATTTCACCCTTGACTGCACCTTCATTTTGGTCTCATTCCAACAAATCTTTACTCATTATCTGTCATTTTTCTTAATTGATTGAAGTTCATCTTATAGTAGATTCTTTAAGATGGGATAATGAGTATAAAATTATTTGATCTCTTGAATGTCTATCTTTGATCTCTTGAATGTCTAAAAGTTTTTTTATAGCAATAATACTTGAAGAATGGTTTGACTGGGTATGCAATTCTTAGGCTTTTGAAAATGCTCCTCCATTATTGCCTTGCCTTGTATGTTGTTTCTGAGACAGGTGATAATAATCTTTTCCCCTTGTAAGTTATTTGATCTTTTCCCTAGAGGTCTGCAGGCATTTTCTTTATCTTCCAACTTTAATATTTTTTCTAAGATATGGCTTGGAGTTTAACATTTTGTTAAATTTTCCTGGTAGTAAGATGACCCTATTGTTATGTACATTCAGGTCTTCTATTCCCAGAAAGTATTATTAAATTATAGTTTCCTTTCAACACATAAAAAAATGTTGTTCCACTCTCCTTCGAGTTTAAAAATTTCCAATGTCACTGCTTGATATGGTTTGGCTGTGTTCCCACCCATATCTCATCTTGAATTGTAGCTCCCATAATTCCCATGTGTCATAGGAGGGACCCAGTGGGGAGTAGTTAAATCATGGGAGTGGGTCTTTCCCATGCTGTTCTCATGATAGTGAATAAGTCTCATGGGATATGATGGTTTTATAAAGGAGAGTTCCCCTGCACATGCTCTCTTGCCTGTCGCCATGTAAGACATGCTTTTCCTCCTCGTTTTTCTTCCACTATGATTGTGAGGCAAACTGTGAGTCAATTAAACCTCTTTCCTTTATAAATTACCCAGTCTTGGGTAATCTTTATTAGCAGCTTGAGAACAGACTAATACACCTCTTAATCAAATTATCATTCACTTTTATGCAACTTGTCATCTTTTTCTTGCTCCTCTCAAAGTTTCTTTTTTAATGTTGGCTTTCAGCAGGTTGACTATAACGTGCCTAGGCATAACCATTTTTTTTTCATCTTTTTCACGCTTGATGTTCGGTGAGTATCTCAAATCTGTAAATATATGTCTTTCCCTATTTGGAGAAATTTCAGCCGTTATTATTTTCAAACACTTTTTTTCTGCCTGATAGTTTTTCTTCTCACGACAAGGGACTCTGGTTACATGTATGTTTGATCTTTTAATATTATTTAACAAGTTTTTAATGTTCTATTTATTTTTTAATGTATTTCTCATTATTTTCAAATTGAATGCTTCCTTTATTTATTTTAAAGTTCACTGAGTCTCTCCTCTGTCTTCCCCATTCTGCTATCTGGTAAGTTTATTTCAGTTCTAATGTTTTGATGCAGTTTTCTTTTATCCATTTTTCTGCTGAGATTTCATATTTTTAAATTCATTGAAAACATATAATCCTTTACATTATCAAGGATATTTATACAAGATTCTTTGAAATACTCAAACGTTAATTCTAACATTTATTCTATATCTCATGTCTGGCCTTCATTGATTTTCTTTTTTCTATTGAGAATGGATTCTATTTTCCTGGTTCTTCGTATGTCAGGTAATTTTGAATTATATCCTCAACATTCTAATGTTAAGCTATAGAGATTCTGGATTTATTTATTTTTATCTGATAACTGGTTTTTAGGGATATTGTTGTTTGTTCTAACAGACACTTAATTTGGTCGGATTGAACTACAAATGCACTCCTGGGAGTTAGCTAAAATTTTAAAATAAGAATTTTGTAATTAAGCTCTCTTCAGTCTAATGCTCCTCCAGCTGAGCTATTTCAGCAAAGACAGTTAAACTGTTCTGAGTATGCTCCAACCACTCATGTTTCATCAGTCATTCAGAGATGCAGGTAGACATAAACCAAATAGTCCTTGGCTGACTCTTCCTCATCTGTGAATACTCCTCCCTCTCCAATGGTTATGGTTGTCTCATCCTAAATCTTCTAATTAACCAGAAAGATTGTCATTTTTCCAACAGTGCCCTGACAACTGCACCTTCTTCAGGCTAAAAGGATAAAAATAGAGATTTCTTACTATACAACTCCTGCTTACAAGCATGGACTCCACTAGAATCTGCTTCGATCTATTGTTTTCCAGTAACTGCCTTTTGTGGTTTTTTTTTTTCAGAGTTTATTTTTATCTGCAGTAGAGTTTGTCTGTCTAATTGGAGTTTCTCATCCATTACTGAAAGTAGAACAATGGATAATACTTTTAAACATTATTTCTGTTTTCTTGTTTTTTTTTTTAAAAAAAAAGTCCTTTTCAGCACACCAATTATATGTATGTTGTTATTTCTTTGCTTGTCCTTCATTTAAACCACTTTCTTTCTGACTCTTTTTACTGCTTTCTTTACATAATTTTTATTATATTTTATATTTTCCTGCTTTTACTCAATGTTTTTCATATTGTTTCAAATTGTTTTTATCTTCCTTAGGCAACTTCTAATTTAATCTTCATTACTGGTATATTTTGTCTTTTTAAATTTATTTTTTGAGTTCAATTAATTTTAATTTCATTGAGAGAATTTTCCTGACGTGAACTGTTTAGATTTTAATTTTCTAAGTTGTTTAAAGTACTTATAGATAGATGAATAAACGGATACTGTTTTTTGTATCTGCAGTCTGTGGACAGAGCTGGTAGTTAAGTGCTGTTTATGAGGTTCCAGGCACAAAGCATATCTTCAGCCAGTATAGAAAAGAAGGTTTTCTTTACTGATTTGGTAATGGGAGATAAATAAATGAGAGAAAATATATAAGAAGGTGTTTTGTGTTCCTCTTTATTTGATTTAGTAATCTTGCAGGATAATGAATTCCCTCTTCTTGCTTATTTTTTCCTTGTCTACTCGATTTCTAAAAGGCACTACTCCACTTTTTCTAAAAATATTTTTCCCTTCAAACAATATTTTTCTAAGGCTCACTTTTTAGGTTCTGGATGAATTTTTAGTGTTTTTCCTGTAAACTGTGCCCTGAACAATACATTATTTCGGTGTTTTTTACATCTGTGCCTACTTTCTTTTTTGGTATTTTTTTTCTGATCAATTTTAGGCTTGTCATAAATTTTGTATACTCTGTGTCTTGCAATTTTTCCAGAGCTATTTTTATATTACCCAAAAGCTTGTATCAAGAATGGTAGGAGACACCTTGCCAGGATTTGGTATTTATTTTTCTACTTACAATTAATTTGAGCGTTGAATGTTCTCTGTTTTCTTGTTTTGGGTATAAGTTTTACATAGGTTTTTTTGTTTGTTTGCCTGAGAAGTTAGGAATGCCCTCCATTGCTTCCCCTACTAATAATCTTATATTTAGTATATTGGCATGAAATTAGAGCTTAGGTTACAAACATACTACTCACTCTGCAGATGAGCAAATGAGTGTGAAAATTCTCATTTTTGATGAGGATTTATATATCTGCATTCATCAGCTAGGGAAATAACCGTAGCATGAACTGAGAGGTGGACCTCTTGGGAGAGAGCCTCAGTTCAAAATTTTATTTATAACTTAACCCATTAAATCCCAAATCACTGAAGGTTTGTTCTAGGTCTCTCTATGACCGGGTTAAACAACTTCCACACCTCTAAGCATTACCCTGCTAAATGGATGCAAGTTCTTCTAAGAAAGGCTGAATGAAGATTCACATGACATGCCTGTGACGATATTGTGAGTCTCTTCTTTTTGAGTTCCTAGGCATTCACTTTATTAGGGCTTTGGATATGTGAAAAGACACATCTATTTGAATTTGATAAGAAACTATGTTTCTTAAGGAGACCTCAGATTTTTGATTTATATTTTTTTAATGTGAAATAGCTGTTTAGTAAGTTATCCTTTGTTTTAGCCCCTAGGAGTCCGTGATCAAAAAGTCATAATTGAAGCTCACTCAGAGTCAGGACATTTAGTTCACCCCCTTGGTCCCAATATGTGAGTACCTTTTCCACCATGCTTGTAGTGATCCCGTGCTACTTATTGGTGTCTGCCATCCTACATAGTTTAATGTCATTAAAATTAGATAGCCCATTTGAACTACCTTGTTGTCCACATGCATCATCAGCCCAGAGAGAACCACTAAACTATTTTAAGAAATACTAATATTCATGAGAACATATGGATACAGGGAAGGAAACAACACACAGTGGGGCCTGTCGTGGTATGGAGAGCAAGGGGAGAAAGAGCATTAGGATGAATACCTAATGCATGCAGGACTTAAAACCTAGATGACAGGTTGATAGGGGCAGCAAACCACCATGTCACATGTGTACGTACCTATGTAACTAATCTGCACATTCTGCACATCTATCCCAGAACTTAAAGTAAAATAAAAAATAAAAAACTATAAAATTAATATATTCAAAGTGATAGTTATCTACAAAATAAATTCCTGTTGACAAAAAAAGAAATACTAATCTTCCTTTCACTAACGACTTCTTTAAGGTTTTAGAAAAGTCATGTCTTCTGTGTCTTCCTATAGATTACAGATGAATAATGAATGGATTACACTCAATAATTCCACCCTAGCATTTTTCTCTTTGTTATCTGAAAGAATTTATGGTATCTCAAATTAACTTAGATTGTGCCTCTCGAGTAGACCAAGCAAACCTTTAAAACTACTCCTACTGCTCTAAGTAGCATATTGAATCCAGAATCTCATATGTCTTCCAGATTTTAAAATAAATTAGTCTGATCTATATTTACATTCTTCCCTATTTGTTCTAGCATCCTTGGAATCCATTCCTACACATACTGCTCAGATTGTTTTTGCTGATACAAATTAACGAAGAACTGACTTCTTCAGACCTCTTAGGCATGCATGCTGCAATGTGTGTGCACCTATGTATCTGGAGGAAATGAGGGTTGGAAGGGAAGGGAATGAACAAAGTTGAGGTTCTTTTGCAAAATAGACAAGGGAGACACAATGACTTCAAGCCAAGCTGGAACAGACTCTTTAGACAAAAACAAGCTTACTTCAGCCAGCAAGGTAGGCTCAGCAGCATTAGAAGCTTGGGTAGCTCCAATTTTTCCAAATGCTACTATGGCAATTCTTAGAGCCCATTCTTTCTTAATCAATTTCCTAAGAGATTTGGAAACACTATATATTTAACCAATGTTGTAATTTGGCAAAGCATATAATCCTCGACGCATTTGTTTCTCAGCTTACGATCTCAGCACTTTAGGTATAAAATGTATTAAAGATGTTATTTTAGTAGTTATAGAAAGTTCTTAGTTTTCAGTTTGTGCTTTGATACAAGAATACACTGATTTCAGCATATTATTCCTTTTCACGCTATCCAGTGCTCTTAGATGTGACCACCCCACATCTAATAATGAATACATTATTCATTCTTTGAATAATGTATATTCTTTATAATACTTTATAGCAGTAGTCACTTAGTGGCTTTCAGTGTGTATTCCAGGTCACAATTAGGCAATAATTTAACAAATTATGTTGCAACTGTATATCACAGGCTGCTACAGGCTCATCCTTTAATGCTCTGGAAAGCACTAGATTTTCATTGCCTTCTTTTCCATACAGGTCAGATAACAATGTGAGATTCCCCCAAACCCTATAAGGAAAGACCATTCACTCCCTTAATAGTCCCCATACTATATATCAAGGTTCTTTGTTACAAGAAGCAGAAACAAACACTGATTTAAGCGGAAAAGACTTTTGTTGGAAAGATATTGAAGAACACATATATGGTCATTTGCTTTACCTTCCTCAGTTCTTCACCCTTCTTCGTATTCACAGCCTCAGGCTTTGTAATATCCACTCCCTAAGATGTTACATTTCTTTCCACTAGAGGCAGCATATATTCCTTACCCCATCGATTTTGGGCTCAACCATGGAATTTGCATAGTCCAATCAGGCATTCGAAGGTGTGATGTAAGCAGAGACTTCAAATGTGCTTGCTTGCTTGGGCCTTCTGTCATGCATTGTTACCTTTCATCATCAGAAAGACATCCCTCCAATAACTGGTAGTCCAAGAAACATAAAGAAAATGTGGAGGAGACCTGGACCTAACCACAGCTTGTAGCCACACCCTGCAAAGTCCAGCCTAGAAGGGCTGATCTTCTATCAACCTGCATCTATAAAAGTTTAAAAAAAAGCTTATGTTGAATGTGTTAAATGCCATTGACTTTTTTTTTTTTTGTAGGGAGCAGGGAGGATTGTGTTGAAGAATTTTTGTGGATATAGCTGATGGACACATCACGAAATCATAGAATCACCAGAATTACTAGATAACCAAGATTGAGAATGGCGGCAAGAGCCAAAGGAAACTAGGAATAGCTAAGACTCCACCACAGAAGGGATTTCTTAGGAGGGTACTATAGGTCTCATCACCACTGGATACTCCACTCTCCCAGCATATTCTGCAAACCTCAGGTACATGCTGAGAGTTTACTATTCAGCCACAGCTTCAGAAAACAATCTCTAGTGGCCTCTGCTCTCTTCATCACTCTTCCATATTCAAAACTCAAGTAATTAGCCAGCCAAGGTCACGTGTTTCCATTCTCATTGCCAGAAAGTTGGGAGAAGGAATATCTTCCTTGCTGTGGCTTATAACAATCGTGTGATTCCTGAAGCATGTAAAAGGTACGTGAAATCTGGGTAGCTATAACATGACAAATGTCTATTACAAGTCTTTGTCTGAAGGGGAATGATAACTCAGTGGAACCCACAGTCATATTTTCAAGCCAGACTATACCTAAACATTACAGCAGTAGCAGTAACAGTCAACATGCATTTACGTTGTGCTAACCAATTGTTAAAAGAATGATCTATCCTTTTATTGTAGATAATGTATCTCCTTTATAGAAATGAGAAAAATGGGGTTTAAGATGGTTAAGTAACCTGCTCAGATTCATACAGCTCAATGTGGCAAAGCCAAGAAAGAAACCAGGTTGGTCAGAGTACCAAACCCTGACTCTTAACCACTGGGATGCACTATTTCTCAAGTACTAAAGAACCATTTCCAAGACACAATGAGCTCTACGTCTTGTTAAGACTAAGAGAGTTGATTACTCCATAAGCATCATCAATATCCTCCTCTGAGTCTTAATTCCATCGCTAGTTATTTTGTTATTGCTTTTATGCTATATTTTAAGCCAAGTTCCTCCTCTATTTTTTGCACAGATGAAATGGGAAATAACTGATCTTTCTTGAGTACTCGAAAACCTATTATAAAGCTTCCTCTCTGCTTCTCTCAACCAGCCTCTCACAATTTTTCTGTCTCTTAATGGAGCATGCTATTTTTTTCATTTCATTTTCTTTAATATTTTGAGTGGTTAGTGCTCCAAATATTTTCTAGAGAAAAGAATAATTTTACATTTTCCCTAAACCCTGACAAGCTATGAAAGCTCTTTGAGGTTTGTGGTGTATGTATATGTGCGTGTGTGTCTCTGTGTGTATACCCTACTATTGTTGTTAACAGAGTCTCTTAGAGGCCTGACAGTTACACTGTTCTCCACAAATACCTTGACAACTTACTGAAAAAAAGGAGTCATGAGAGAGAGAAGGGTGCAGAAAACCATCTAGTGACCAGAGTCGTATGGTTGAAATCCTCACTTGGCCATTAACAAGCTATGTGGCACTGGCAATGAATTCAGATTATCTGAGGATTTATTCCACTGTTTACATAACAGGATAAAGAAGAAAGAATGTTGGCTGGGCACAGTGGCTAACACTTGTAATCTCAGCACTTTGGGAGGCCAAGGCACATGGATCACCTGAGGTCAGGATTTTAAGACCAGCCTGGCCAATATGGTAAAACCCTGTCTCTACTAAAACCACAAAAATTAGTTAGGCGTGGTGGTGGGAGCCTGTAATCCCAGCTACTTGGGAGGCTGAGGCAGAAGAATCACTTGAACCTGGGAGGCGGAGATTGTAGTGAGCCGAGATCGTGCTACTGCACTCCAGCCTGGTGACAGAGTGAGACTCCATCAAAAAAAAAAAAAAAAAAAAAAGGAAGAAGAAGAAAGAAAGAAAGAAAGCTGCATACAGTTCAGAGCCTAACAAAAAGTAGGTACTTAATGACTTAATGGTGGCAACTATCATCACTATTGCTGCTGTTGCTGTTGTAATGGTGGTGAAAATATTGATCTTCCATACATATTCATTGGAGACCATTTCTTAGCATTTTTGACAATTACTACTAATCATATTAATAAAAAACCATATCCTAAGCAATTCAGTTTATTTTGAGGAATAACAATAAAATGTATTCCTGAACTTTAAAAATTACTATCCCATGAAATCATTCTCAGGGATCCTTTAACAGTTAGATATTCATGTGGGCATTATTTAAGTTTTCCATGGTGCAGTTCTTGTGTCACCACCACATAAATGAGTTGGCTATAACCACTAATAACCTACCTGAAAGCCAGGCCCAGGATTAAAACACATCTCATTGTGTTCTCACTACTTACCTCACTTCCCTAGTGTTTCCTACCCTTACAACGGGCTCTCAGTTTTGAAGGATTCCTTGCAATGTGAGCACTGAAATATGACTGAGAGGAGGAAGAAGTGGAGTTCACAATGCTTGGGCTAGAAGGATTGAGGGGAAACCATTGAGGAAACACCTATATATGTTGGCCAGAACCATTTTTACATGTATTATTTTCATTTTTTTTTCAGCATCTGAAACCTAAAATATATGGTGTCTTTGGACCTTGAAGTCATTGTGTTTCCTATAAATGATCTTTCAGGCAATCTAGCGTAATATGTAACAGAATTACTGAGTAAATAAGGAGCTGGCAAAATCAAAGGGTATCATAGTTGAAGGACTATCATGTCATATCATGACAGTGTGGAAAGTCAACTTGATGCACGATTGAGATTTCTCCTCTTTCGGGAAGTCATCTTACATTGTGACTGCCAAGTCTTAAAGAGACAGGGAATTAGTGATGTCGGTTTGAAGAACTGGGAAGTGATTTTCCTTTCATTTTTCATTACCTTCTCATCAGCTGCACAAGCAGGAAGTGAGATCATTTGTATTCATAGAGACAAAGAGAATGACATGTCATAAGCAGGGAGAAAAATTACTATGGCCTGGTTATACTCATATATGTTTCTAGCTGACTTGAGCCCTTTTAGAAGTTAGTGGGATATAAATCTTTAGTATTGTGTGAAGCAAAGTTTATTAGGTACCATAGCTATGCAATGAGTAACTAAGCAATACTAAAGTATTTGGGTAGGATTGGGATGGGGACAAAAATAATTTTATTATTGAATCAGAAATGAGCTAATTAGTTGAAGGACTTCAAAAAGGGTCTAGATGATTCATGCTCTTAACTAAAAATAACCAAAGAAAGAGAATTATAAATTAAAATGTTTGATATTGCTTGGTATTTTTCACCTTGACCATATATTATTGTCTACCTTCTACTTTATTTTTTTACTTAAAATGATATGCAGTAGAAAGAATGCTCTCAGATGCCATTTGTTTGTTTTCTGTAATATAAATAACAGAGCTAAACATGTGCACTAAACAAAAATAAGTTATTTGTCTCCAAAACACATTCCATTAGTCATCTGGAAAACATCCGAGGTCACACTTCATGATCCTCAGATGAAATAAGTGATATGAATGAAAAATGATGGGGTTTCTCCAAAGGATGGCAAAAGAAAGATTTGAAAATGAGTTTTTAATCTTCTTTCTTTGGTGCATTTCCTGGTCCTTATTAAAAGACAACAAAATGAGCTCAAGACTCCCTGGCAGGGCCCACACATAAATGAGCTGGGCTGGGGCTTCTGCAATCATCAGATACTTCAAAGAAGTGTTCATGATGCTCATCTTACTCAGTGCATTTTACACCCAGTTGTCTAGTACCACATTCCCAGGGGGAAATTTGGGTACTTCCATCACCACCTGAAATTACAGCTCCAGCTGTCAATGACATAACAGCCCATTCTACTGTGACCAGATATATCAGCCAAGTATGCCACTGTGCAGGGGTCAAAGGAGGCTGGGTAGACTCTCCGTGCTGGCTGGCTGTGGAACTATTTCTTGCATACTTGCTACAGGAGGGTTCTCAACCATTGGTTATCCATGAATACAATTATATTCATTTAAATGGAAATAGAATTATTCCCTCTCTGCCTCTCCCCTAATTTCTATCTGAAATTATTCTCTGTCTCTCTCTCCCCTGATATCTATCTGAATTTCTCTCTCTCTCTCTCTCCTAATTTATTTCTAAAATGTAGCAATTGCTTCCATTCCATTTTCATCCTTGAAATACTGTTCTAGGTCAGATTCATGATTGAATTCTACCAGATGCACCAAGAAGAGCTGGTACTATTCTTACTGAAGCTATTCCAAAGAATTGAGGAGGAGAGACTCATCCCCAACTCATTTTATGAGATATTATCCTTATACCAGTACTTATAGGTATCATCCTTATACCAGTACTTGGTATAAGGTACTGGTATAAGCATCATCCTTATACCAGTACTTGGCTAAGACACACAAAAAATGAAAACTTCAGGCAAATATCCTTAATTTATGTAGATGCAAAAATCCTCAAAAAATACTAGCAAACTGAATCCAGCAATACATCAAAAATCCAATCCACCACAATCAAGTAGAGTTTGTCCCTGGGATGCAAGATTGATTCAACATATGCAAATCAATAAATGCAATACATCACATAAACAAAACTAAAGACAAAAAACCACATGACTGTATCAATAGGTGCAGAAAAGACTGAATAAAATTCAACATCCTTCATGTTAAAAACCCTCAAAAACTAGGCACTGAAGGAACATACTTCAAAATTGTAACAGCCAAATATGACAAACCCACAGCCAACATCATACTCAATGAGCAAAAGCTGGAGGCATTCCCCTAGAAAACTGGAACACTGGAAAAAGACAAGGATTTCCACTCTCACCACTTCTGTTCAACATAGTATTCGAAGTCTTGGCCAGAGCAATCAGTCAAGAGAGAAAAAATGAAAAGCGAAGTCAAACTATCCATGTTCACAGATGACATGATTCTATATTTAGAAAACCCCTTAGTATCTGCCTCAAAACTCCTCGAGCTGAAGTAGCTTCACAAAGTTTTGGACTACAAAATCAATGTACAAAAATAAGTAGTATTCCCATACACAAACAGCACCCGAGCCAAGAGTCAAATCAGGAAGGCAATCCCATTCACAATTGCCACAAAAAAAGAATTAGATACCTAGGAATACAGCTAACCAGGGAGGTGAAAGATGTCTACAGTGAGAATTACAAAAAACACTGCTCAAAGAAATCAGAGATGACACAAACAAATGAAAGAACACCCCATGCTCATACATAGGAAGAATCAGTGAAATTAAAATGACCATACTGCCCAAAGCAATTTACACATTCAATGATATTCTTATCAAACTACCAGTGACATTCTTCACAGAACTAGAAAAAACTATTCTAAAATTCATATGGAACCATAGAAGAGCCAGAATAGCCAAAGCAATCCTAAGCAAAAAGAACAAAGCTGGAGGAATCACATTGCCTGACTTCAAACTGTAGTACAAGGCTACAACAAACAACACATCATGGTACTGGTACAGAAACAGACACATAGACCAATGGAACAGAATAGGGAACCCAGAAATAAGGCCATAAGTCTACAATCATCTGATATTTGAGAAAACTGACAAAAAACAAGAAGTAGGGAAAAGAGTCCCTGTTTAATAAATGGTGCTGGGATAACTGGCTAGCTATATGGAGAAGATTGAAACTGGACCCCTTCCTTATACCACATATAAAAATCAACTCAAGATGGAGTAAAGACTTAAATATAAAGCTCAACACTACAAAAACCCTGGAAGACAACCTAGGCAACACCATTCTGGACATAGGAAAAGGCAAAAATTTTATGATGAAGATGAGATGCCAAAAACAATTGCAACAAAAGCAAAAATTGACAAATGGAACCTAAACTAAAGAGCTTCTGCGCAGGAAAAGAAACAGTTAACAGAGTGAAAAGGCAACCTACAGACTGAGAGAAAGTATTTGAAACTCTGCATCTGCTGACAAAGGTCTAATATTCAGAATCTACAAGGAACTTAAACAAATGTACAAACAAAAAACAACACCATTCAAAAGTGGGCACAGGACATGAACACTTTTCAAAAGAAGACATACATGTGTCCAACAAGCATATAAAAAATGCTCAATATCACTAATCACTTAAGAAATGCAAATAAAAACCACAATGAAATACTATCTCACACCAGCCAGAATGGCTATTATTTAAAAGTCAAAATATAACAGATGCTGGTGAGGTTATGAAGAAAAGAAAACGCTTAACACTGCTGGTGGGAGTGTAAATTAGTTCAACCACTGTGGAATGCACTGTGGTGATTCCTCAAAGAACTAAGAATGGAACTACTATTTGGCCCAGCAATCTCACTACTGGGAATATACCCAAAGGAACATAAACTGTTCTACCATAAAGACACATGCACGTCTAGGATCACTGCAGTATTATTCATGACAGCAGGGACATGAAATCAATGTAAATGCCCATCAATGGTAGAGTGGATAAAGAAAATGTGGTACATGTACACCATGAAATACTAAGCAGCCATAAAAAGAATAAAATCATGTCCTTTGTTCAGGAATATATGGATGGAACTGGAGGCCTTTATCTTTAGCAAACTAAAGCAGGAACAGAAAACCAAATACTGCATGTTCTCACTTATAAGTGGGAACTAAATAATGAGAGCACATGGATAGGAAGAGAGGAACAACAAACACTGGGGCCTACTTGAGGGAGGAGGATAGGAGGAGGAAAGGGTTCAGAAAAAAAAAACTGTTAAGTAATCTCCTTAGTATCCAGGTGACAGAATAATCTGTACACCAAACCCCTGAGTCACGAGTTTACCTATATAACATACATGTACATGTGCCCCTGAACCTAAAATAAATGTTACAATATTAACAAAAAAAAAGTTCTAAGAATTTTAGAAAATGAAGTGTTGCCCCTACTCCCTTTTATTTTTATTTCTTTTATATTTTCTCCTCTTCTGTCTCCTCCTACTTCTCTTATTTTAGAGACAAGGTCTTGCTCTGTTGCCCAGGCTGAAATACAGTGGCACAATATTGGCTCACTACAACCTCAACCATCTGGGCTCAAGCAATCTTCTCACCTTAGCCTCCCAAGTAACTGGGACTAAAGGCACATACCACCATGCCTGGCTAATTAAAAAAAAAATAAATTGTAGAGACAAGGTTTCGCTATATTGCCTTGGCTGGTCTCAAACTTCTGGCCTCCCAAAGTGCTGGGATTATAAGAGTGAGCCACCGCACCCAACCTGTCTTCATTTTTAATCACATTGTTGCAGGATCCTTGGGGTGTCACTTTTCTGGCAGGAAACCTCTATGGCTGGTGGCACTTTTACCTGAGTTTTGCTTGGGCCCGCTGAGCTGGTTCCACCCACTCAGCCTGGCAAGGCTGCACTTGGCTCACACTACCAGCCTGGATCCCATGCCTCACAAGGGCGAGCCAGGTGTGGAGTGGTGAGGGGTGTGTGAAAGAGTGACTGTGGGGTCTGGCCACTGCACAAAGTCAAGTGTGCTGGCTAATGCAGTGCGGTGGGCAGCTCCAGGTGGGGGCATGGGCACTGGCTCTCTGCAAAACTGCGGCTGGACCAGGTGCACCGCAAGCAGCTTCCACAAATGCCAATGCGGAATGTGGTCGCACCCAAAATATTGGAGACTCCAGGAACCGCTGGCCCCAGAAGAGGGAGTCACAGCCCTGGTTTAGGGGGGCTCCCAGGTCTGCACTCCCCAAAGGGACACAGCTCTTCTCCCCTTCTCTTCACCTGCAATGTGGCAAGCAAGGGGCGTGTTTCAGCCCTGTTTGTGTTACAACTCTTTCACCCAGCCATTTGGCAGGTCTTGAGTTCTTGTCCTGCATCCAGGAAGAACAAGGTATGCAGACAAGTGGAAGGTGAGCAAGGCAAAGAGGAGCTTTATTGAGTGACACAATAGCTCAGAGGAGGTCCGGGAGTGGGTAGCTTCTCTCTGTAGGCAAGTTGTCACATCAAGTGTTCAGCCCTCAGCAGAGAGGAGGCCCCTGGAGTGGGTAGATTCTCTCTGCAGGCAGGCTGTCCCATTGTCTCTGCAGAGAGTTGCAGAGAGGAGGCCCTGGAGTGAGTAGCTACTCTCTGCAGCTGGTCATTTCTGACATCTGCAGCTCTCGGCAGAGAGGAGGCCCTGGAGTGGGTAGCTCCTCTCTGTAGCTGATCATCCCATCTGCTCAGCTCTGGCCGAGCCCAGGACTTTTATGGGCCTCAGATTGGAGGAAGTGCATGCCAATTGGTCCATGGGCAGCCATGATCAGGCCCAGAAAAGTCACCACAAGTTCCCACTCTGGTCCACGGACTGGCAGCCTGGTCCCCAGCCTTCAGTTCCTCCCTGGCCTGAAAGTGGGGCCTCACCAGGGACCCACCCCATTTTGCCCTGTCTGCCTCCCTCCCATTGCTGTTCATGGTGCCCAGGCTTTCATGCCAAGGGGCACCTGGAGGCCAGAGCCAAGCTGCCCTCAGCACCCCTTCAACTTCCCTCCCGTACTTGGCAGCACCTGAAGTCTGGAGGGGGCTGAGGTGGCAGTGGGCTGGCATGTCAGCACTGCCCTGAGTGTGCACATGGCTGGCCAGGCTGCAACAGCATCTGGGCTCGACCCAAACCTTGTTCTAAGATCAGAGTGGGTGCCAGAAATGGGGAGAGGCCAGGTAGTGGGAACAGACACCACCAAGCCTGTGAAGGCAGGGAGTGGGTCCTTCCTGGGCCCCCAGAGTGCAGAGGTGCCCAGGTCTGTAGCTGTGGCTTGGGTGGTATAGCTTCCCCAGGGAGGGCAGGGCTCCTGACTGCTCTGTGGAGCAGGAGGCCCAGGTCTGCAGCCACCACTTGGGTGGCTGCAGCTGTGCCCAGCAGGGCAGGACTCCTGCCTACTCCTGGCACCCCCAAGAGCACAGGGAAGCCCAGGTCTGCAGCCATGACTTGGGCAGCTATAGCTGCACCCAGAAGGGTGGAGATCCTGCCTGCTACATGGAGTGAGAAGCCTGTGTCCACAGCCACGACTTGGGTGGCTGCAGTTGCACCCAGGGAGCTCCTGTCCCACCAACTTGGAAGGGGCAGGGCTCCCACTTGTCCCTGGCTCCCACTTGCTCTGTTGATGGAGTGTACAGCTTTGGCCATCCTTCCCTGCTGCAGCCAGAGTGATGGCAGCAACCACTCCAGATGGGCCACCACTGCCATCAATATCATTTCAGCCAAACTAAGGGAACCTATCCAATTTGAACTCAGTTCTCTTTTGTATTCTCTAAGACAATTGCAGTTCCAAATCTTCAGAGTCATGTTCATTTTAAAAGGTTTTCATTGTAAAGGTTCTTGTTCTTTAACTTGAATAACAATGTTATACTGTGGAATGGTCTCTGACTAAATTTTATCCAAATATTGATCAACATAAGATTAAATAGAGAGGGTATACTATAATGCAGATGTAGTTGTATGTATACTGTAATGTAGACATTTCAGTCACCAATATAGCATGTTGCTAAAGTGTAGACTTATCTGATAGTTGGCCATTTATGTTGTGTGATAATCTGTACAGAAAACCATAATCATGTAGAAGAGCATAGTTTAAATGTACTATACAAAATGATGTACTAAAACTTATTCTGGGAAGAGGCCAAAAAGATTCACCAGATTGCCAAATAATCCATGAAATTAAAAGATTTGGAACTCTGCTCTAAGTCACAAGCAGTGGCTTGTGCTGCATGAGGAGATAATGGAAGAGCCGACGAGGTCAAGGACACACCTGAAGCAGGGCTAGTATCATGGGCATGTGGCCAGTGCAGTTACACAGGGCCCCATACTCAGAAGGGGACATTATGCTTGGAGTTAATGCTCTGCAGTTGTCATCTTGAAATTCTTAAACATTTTATCTTTGCGTTTTAGTTTTGCAAATGAAGTCAGTTGAAAAAACAGAACATGTGCCAGTGGCCTGGAGACTTGGTTCATCCACCTACTACCTCCTCCTCACCTTCCTGCCTCTCTAGGACAGGTTCTTGGCCATCAGTTCCCTCAACACTGCACAAAGCCTGCTGCCACCATATACCTGGGCTACAGCTTAGGCATGAGTGCAGGGAGGGTTGATGTTAGACACCACCAAAGGCTGCGTCATGGGATAAGGCCCTCATGCCTCAGGAGTATTCTATACCCAAGGGAGGAAGACGTTTAGTAGCAAAAACATCTTGACAGATCAAGGCTTCAGACTACAGGAAAAAAGAACAAGCACTTTTCTCCCCCTGCTTTTTGAACAAAGGAAACTGCATTAAAAAAAAAAAAAAAAAAAAAAAAAACTATGAGGATGTTACAGAGAGGTCTCATATACCCAACCCTTAGTTAATTAGTGATGAAGTTGGAATTCAAACCCAGTTTATGGGGTCCCAAGACTCACAGTTATGTAAGTTGATGGAGCCATTATTTTGTTTTCTAGCCAAGGGCATTGAAAGGTTATGTAGTGGGCCATCTAGATCTCATTGAATTTCCCCAAACTCAGCTTCCTCTTCCACCTAACATCACCAAATGCCACACTCCTTTCTCTCAAGACTGAATTTGGAGGCCTTTTTAAAACCCCTGTAATCACCTTCCTGGTGGCACAAGAGTTCAATATATTCAGTGGCCAGGCACTTAAAAATACAACTATCAGACCTTGAATTTGAAGACGAAAGTCAAATTTTCCAATTCTGCTTTTTAAAAATGCAAAGGTCTGCAGCATCCCCTAAGAGAAGAAAGGTAGGTCACTTTTCAAATAGGGATAAAGAATGTTCTATCTCTGAGTGAATCCTTATAGAAATCTAGCAGTTTCCTCTCAACATCTTACTCTCCCAATCAAACTAGTTTTCTCTGGCTCCCCTAAGTGTTGGCACTATTGCTTATTTTATTACCTACAGCAATAGAGTTTGTCATCAGTCTTATATCTGTGCCTAATTACATCTATTCCAAATGTAAAAAATCAAATCCAGACTTACCACAGTTGCCAGCCTCCCCTGAGCTCCTGCCAAACATTGAGAGTAAGAAGCATGAACAAGGCTGTCCACAGGAGCCCATAAGCCCTACTTGGCCTATCCCCGTCAGTGCTGTGGTCCTGGACCAGGTGTTGTTGCCACATAAAGAGCACAGTGATTGAACAATATGACTGAAACTCAGCATGGCACCCATTTTACATTCACCATAGAATGATCTAAATTAATCATGTTCCAGCTCTACAGTTGTAGAAGAAAAGAAAAAATCCACTCTAAGTACAGCAAAAAAAAAGTATTATATTATGTTAACTATCCATTTTTTAACCTGTTCCTATGGTTGAGTAAGGCTGGCCTCTCTCATGGTTAGAAAAATAGCCAAGAGAGATCGAGATGTGAATTTGAGTGTTTCTTCTTGGGGGTTTGCTTTGAAGTGTTTCTAGTACTTAATTATCCTCTAGGGTTCTAAAATAGGTTATGTTTCTTGAAGCTGCACTGAATCTGGAATTCATTACGTAATTTTTTGGTTTAGTGGAAAATAATTTAACAACAGGTAGTATTTGAAATTAAAACCATGTTTGCTAAGGCTGGCACACCAGAGAGCAGCAAAGGTGGACAATCTAGTGAAGCTATTCTGAATAAATACTATTTTAAAATCATGCAACTTTTCTTTCCCCTTGTAAATATCTCTAAATCATTTCTTTCCCATCATTTCTACATATCTTGCTGTAAGAGACATAGCTGAGGTCAGATGAGTGATGTGATTTCTGGGAAAGTAAAGGAGACATCCAGTGTGGAACAAACACGGATAGTAACCTTGGAATGAGGCTCAGCAGAAGTTCCCAAAAACAAGATTTTGGGAGGAAAATGTTTGCTTTGCTTTTTAGTTTCCATAGAATATATGTGGCTAGACTAGAGAACAGTGACATAAGCTGAAACCAACTTAGGTTCTACTTTATCCTTAGCTTGGTGGAATAAAAATATTAAGCCATAAACGTAATTTCACAATAAGAGACAATCTTTACATCACTCTTCTCCTAGAGTTGTCTTTTCATCAGCTCAAAACACATATTTAGAACATGAAAACAACATATGCCATGAGCTGTGTTAACATAGAATTGCTAATATTAAAACAGATGCCTAGTCTTAGCAGTGGAATAAAGGTTTGTTTGTTTGCCTTAAATTTTCCTCTGGAAAATGTCCCAAAAGTGGCAAGAAGGATGAGATGATGAGTGTTAGTGTGAAATCCAAAATCCATCATTGATGAAACTAAATAAAATTGGTCTCTCTGAAACACATTATCAAGAGAAAGGCTGGCTGATTCAGGGAAGACCAAACAGGAGTAAGAGGTGTGGCTGGCCAAAGACCCTCTTGGCAGAAGAGCCAGAAGAACGCAGTTGTTGAAAGAAAGCAACAAGTCCAAAACTTTCCTTTCGGCTATGGCAAGAATGGACGCACATGCTGGCAGTGGGAGGATGTTTGAACCTTTATAGCATAAGGTTTTGAGGAGCAGGGAAAGTAAGTATGAATGAGGAATCACCAAGTAAATCAAATAATCCCAAGGCCACTCACCAAGGAGGGCAGATGGAGGAAAAATACCGCATACTAAGGAATTCTGCAGCAACTCATCCCAGCTGGGAAACAGCAAAGGCTAAAGGAACTCACATGCCTAACCTGAAATTATGAACAGAATTCCCCGTAGTTTATGGCATGGACTTTGCTCCTTCCCTAAATAAATTTCACAAAATATCTATCCAAGAATACATAATGTAAATCAAATCTGAATAATTATAATGATATTTACTGTCATGAATCTGATAGTAACATATATAGATCATACTATCTGCTAGGCAAAATGCTATGCATGTTACATGTATTATATTTAATCCTCAATATAATCCATAGGTTAAAAGCTCCTATTATCTTTATTTGACAGATGAGGAAACTGAAAGCACATAGGGTTTAAATAACCTAGTGGAGTTAGGTAAATTCCTTGAGGTCATATAACTAGAAGGGGGTAGTCAGAATTTGGATCCAAGCCATCTGGCCCCGGAGTCTACACTCTTAACCACTGCACCAGCCAATGTCAAATTTTTGGCCTCAGGACCTTGTCATGCATGAACATTATTAAGGATACCAAAGGACTTTTGTTTCTGTGGGCTGTATCTACTGATATTTACCAT
The DNA here is from genome assembly GCF_000001405.40 of Homo sapiens. NCBI lineage: Eukaryota > Metazoa > Chordata > Mammalia > Primates > Hominidae > Homo > Homo sapiens. The sequence goes on from NC_000002.12 coordinate 228,997,303, forward strand.
ATTAGAAATAAAAAACAAGTGATTTAAACATATTTATCAATTTATTTAAAATTAATAATAGACTCATTAATTTTTAGTATAAATAGAAAAATGTTAATAATGTATAATTGTATTTTTCAACCCCCCAAAAAATTTAGTGAGAAGAGTCATACTGTTTTACATGCTTTAAATCTTTCAATGCCTGTCTTAATGGAAAAAAAGTTGGATTCCATATCTGTTTCTCTTGAGATATATTGCTTGGGTCAAAGTGTATGAAGAAAATTTGGCCTCACACAGATATGTAGTTAGAATAGTATTTTACTATAAGCTTATTCAAATAATTGTGGAAAAACTTCTTTAATATCACAAAACTTGAAAAGTATTTTCCTAGAGGATGGTGTGTGGAATATAAATCCATAACAATGAACTTCTCTTACTGTAGTACAAAAAAAATCCGTTGGTCTACCTTACCCTTTAAATGAATCTTACTTGACTTTATAGCATCATGAATTGTTCATTTGGTTCACCAGTTATGTAGATCTTTTAAATGTTGACACACTTTATTGTGTGATATTAAGAAATTATATTGTCAACATACCACTTAACTCATCATAAAAGTCAGTAAGTGTTGGGAAGATGTCAAGCTCAGAATGGTAACGATTTTCCATACTTGTCATTTTGACTTGAAAGTTTGAATTTTATTATTGACAAGTGTTGTCAATTACCTTCCTTGATATGACAGGCTCACTTAATTCATTTTTGAGAAAATATCTGCAAAATTCCCAAATATGAATAACCTTAGTGATATGGTTTGGTTCTGTGTCCCTACCCAAATCTCATCTTGAATTATAATCCCCACATATTGAGGGAGGGACCTAGTGGGAGGTGACTGGATCAATGGGAGTGGGTTCCTCCATGCTGATCTCATGATACTGAGTGAGTTCTCATGAGATCTGATGGTTTAAAAGTGTTTGGTAGTTCCCCTATTGCTTTCTCTCTCTCTCTCTCCTGCCGCTCTGTGAAGACAGTAGGCACTTTCCCCTTCACCTTCTTCCATGATTGTAAGTTTCCTGAGGCCTCCTCAGCCATGTAGAACTGTGAGTCAATTAAACCTCTTTTATTCATTAATTAACCAGTCTCAAGTATTTTTTTATCACAGCATGAAAAATGGACTAATAAAGAGAACTGGTACTGGGAGTTTGGGTCACTGCTATTAAAATGCCTGAACATGTGAAAGCAACTTTGGAACAGGGTAATGGGCAGAGGTTGGAACAGGTTGGAAGGCTTGGAAGAAGGCAGGAAGATGTGGGAAAGCTTGGAGTTTTCTAGAGACTTGTTGAATGGTTTTGATCAAAATGCTGATAGTGATATGGATAGTGAAGCATAGACTGAGGTGTTTTCAGATGGATGAGGAACTAATTGGGAACTGGAGTAAAGGTGATTCTTGCTATGCTTTAGCAAAGAGACTGGAAGCATCTTCCCCCTTCCTTAAAGATCTGTGGAACATTGAACTTGAGTGAGATGATTTAGGGTATATGGTTTTGCTGTGCCCCACTCAAATCTCATCTTGAATTGTAACTCCCACAGTTCCCACATGTCATGGAAGGAACCTGATGGGAGGCAATTGAATCATGGGGCAGGTCTTTCCCGTGCTGTTCTCATGATAGTGAATAAGTCTCATGAGAAGGGATGGTTTTAAAAACAGGAGCTTCCCTGCACAACCTCTCTCTCTTTGACTGCTGCCATCCATGTAAGAAGTGACTTGCTCCTCCTTGCCTTCCACCATGATTGTGAGGCCTCCTCAGCCTTGTGGAACTCTAAATCCATTAAACCTCTTTTTCTTCCCAGCCTCAGGCATGTATTTATCAACAGTCTGAAAACAGACTAATACAGGGTATCTGGCAGAAGAAATCTTTAAGCAGCAAAGCATTCAATATGTGACCTGGCTTTTTCTGAAAACATATAGTCACATACATTCACTAAGAGATGGTCTGAAATTGGAACTTATGTTTAAAAGGGAAGCAGAGTGAAAAGGTTTGGAAAATTTGTAGCATGACCATGTAGTAAGGGAAAAAAACAAACATTTTCTGGGGATAAATTTAAGCCACGGCTGCAGAAATTTCCATAAGTATCAAGGAGGTAAGTGTTAATAGCCAAGACAATGGGGAAAATGTCTCCAGGGCACATCAGGGATCTTCATGGCAGCCCCTCCCATCACAGGCCTGCAGGCCTAGGAGGAGAAAATGGTTTGGTGGGCTGGGCCCAGGGCCCCACTGCTCTGTGCAGCCTCAGGACATGGTGCCCTGTATCCCCACCATTCCAGCTCTAGCTATGGCTAAAAGGGGCCAATGTACAGCTTGGGCCATAGCTTCAGATGGTATAAGCCTTGGTGGCTTCCATGTGGTTTGGGGCCTGTGGGTGAACAGAAGGCAAGAATTTAGATTTGGGAGCCTCTGCCTAGATATCAGAGGATGTATGGAAATGCCTGAAGGTCCAAGCAGAAGTATGCTGCAGGGGTGGAGCCCTAATGGAGAACCTCTACTAGGGCAATGCAAAGGGGAAATGTGGGATTAGTGCCCCCACACAGAGTTCTCACTGGAGTACTTCCTAGTGGAGCTGTGAGAAAAGGGCCACCATTCTCCAGACCCCATAATGGTAGATCCACTAACAGTTTGCACTATTCTTTTGGAAAAACAGTAGGTATTCAATGCCAGTTTGTGAAAGCAGCCCTGGTGGCTGTACCCTGCAGAGCCACAGGGGTGGAGTTGCCTAAGGCCTTGGGAGCCCAACACTCATGTCAGCGTGCCCTGGGTGTGAGACATGAAGCCAAAGGAAATCATTTCAGCGCTTTAAGATTTAATGATTGCCCCACTGGGTTTCAGACTTGCATGGGGCCTACAGCCCCTTTGTTTTGGCCAATTTTTCCCATTTAGAACCAGAGAATTCACCCAATGCCTGTCTCCCATTGTATCTTGCAAGTAACTAGCTTGTTTTTCATTTTCAGGTTCGTAGGTAGAAGAGGCTTGCTTTGTCTCAGATGAAACATTGGACTTGGACTTTTGAGTTAATGCTGGAATAAGTTAAAACTTTGGGGGAATGTTGGGAAGGCATAATCGCATTTTGAAATGTGAAAAGGACATGAGATTTGGGAGGTGCCGGGGCAGAATGATATTGTTTGGTTCTGCGTGCCTAACCAAATCTCCTCTTGAATTATAATCTCCACGTGTCAAAGGAGGGACCTAATGGGAGGTGACTGAATCATGGGGGCAGTTTCCCCCATGCTGTTCTAATGATAGCAAGTGATTTCTCACAATATTTGATGGTTTTAAAGTGGTCAGCAGTTCCCCCCTCATTCTCTCTCTTTCCTGCCACTTTTTGAAGAAGGTGCCTGCTTCCCTTCGCCTTCCATCATGATTGTAAGTTTCCTGAGGCTTCCTGAGCCATGAGGAACTGAGTCAATAAAATCTCTTTCCTTTAAGTTACTCAGTCTCAGTTCTTTATAGCAGTGTGAAAATGGACTAATATATGCAGTTTCTCCATCAGTTATTTCAGTTTAAAAATGATATTCCATTAAAAAGGAGTTCATTTTCTTTGAGATGACCATTATATTTTCATATTCAGCAGAAGTGCCTTATGTGTAATTCCCATTTCATTATGCAGAGGATTGTAAAGCTATGTACTCAAAGAACAAAATTTAATAAAAATTAACCATAATTTTCGCTTTATTAAGAACATCTAGCCAGGTGTTCTGGTGCATGCTGGTAGTCCTAAGTACTTAGGAGGCTGAGGTGGGAGGATTGGTTGCAACCAGGAGATTGAGGCTTCAGTGAGCTGTGATCATGCCACTGCACTCCAGCCTAGGTGACAGAGCAAGGGCCCTGTCTCAAAAAAATTACATATATATATTATATATATACATATATATAAAATAGACATATGTACTATATATATACGTTATATATGTAATATATATGTCTTATGGAAAACTAAAACTGGGAAGTTTCTGAAACTGTGAGTTTGTGGCTGTGAAGGCTTCAATGACTACTAGTACTTTTTGGTGGTACTTCCTAAATTCATGCTAAGACATAAGCAATTTTACTCACCATTGCTTTTGCAACATCAGCACAAACATAAAAACAATAAAAGATAAAAAACTTTCAGCATTATTATCAAAATAGTTTTGACCTTGCAGATCCCCTAAAAATGTTCTCAGGAAACACCAGGATTCTGGAAATCACATTTTAAGAAACATGCAGAGAAACATGTGGTTAAGAAACCACATTTTAAGAAACACATTATACTCAGTATAAAATTAAAAATTATTAAGTATAGTATATATACAAAGATATGGCAAAAGAAAAACAAAGTCTTGCATATTGAATGTTTGTGACCCCCACAACTCATATATTGAAGCCCTAACACCTAATGTAGCAGCATTTGAAGATGGGGCTTTCGGCAGGTAATTGGACTTAGGTGAGATCATGAGGGCAGCAACCTTATGAGATTAGTGCCCTTATAAGAAGAGACACCAGAGAGCTTTCTCTCTCAGCCATATCAGGACACAGTGAGAAGGTAATAATCCACAAGCTAGGAAAAGAGCCTTCACCAGAACCTGACCATGCTGGTGTCCTGATCTCAAACTTCCAGCCTCCAGCACTGTGAAAAAGTAAATGTCTGCTGTTGAAGCCACCCAGTCTGTTGTACTCGAGACACAATTCACTCTGAGGAGAAATTTCTCTCCAGCTGTAAACCTGTGACACAAGACAAGCACAAGTTATATGCTTCCAAAATATGATAATGGGCAGACATAGAATATAAATATTCCTATTCCAAAAGGGAGAGATGAGAAGAAAAAAATGGGTAATTGATCCCAAGCAGGGTCCAAAACTTTCAAGGCAAACTCCATTATATCTTAATGTTTGAAAATAATTTTCTTTGGCTTGATGCCCTGCCTTCTGGACATGTGGGGGTAACAATTCCACCCCCGAGGCTCTGCCAAGCTGTAAGGTTACATCTCCAAGGCCTGCTGGGTAGGGGTCTTGCATCCAAGGCTCTTCTGGGCATAGTCATGCTCTCAAATCTCTTCTGGGAAGGAGTTGTGTCCCCGGGGATCTTCCAGGCAGACCTGCCTCCACAAATTTGGACAGAAGATTTCTAGCCTGTTGAAACCAAGGTGGTGGCTGTGATGGTCTCTGAATTTCCTTTGGTCTACTTTTCTGTCTTCTTGAAGAACAGCACATGTTCATAGCCAAATAGCTCTATCATCCCATCTTGTCAAATCCAAGAAGTCTGACAGCCTTCTTTCATTCACCCCCTTTTCTGTTATCTTTAGTGGCAGCTGGTGGTGTTCCTGCTGGTAAAATGCAATCTCTATTCTAAGCCACCGCTGATATGGCTGATTAGATCCATGGTTCATACCCACACTAATCATCTTGAATGGTTATTCAGCCACACCCTTCGTATGCTCTTCAGAAAAAGCTTTCTCATTTTTTGCAATATGGGCAGGCTGAGAATTTTCCACATCTTCCAGTTCTGGACCATTTTTGCTTAATAATTCCTTCTTTAATTTATTTCTCTCCTTTTGCATTATACTATAAGCAGTCAGGAGGAACCAAGCCACTCCTTCAACACTCTGCTTGGAAATACCCTCAGCTAAATACTCAATTTTATTGCTTGTAAGTTCTAATTCCACAAAACCCCAGTACATAAATGCCACTTAGCCAAGTTCTTTGTCATTTCATAACAAAGATTGCCTTTTCTACATTGCCCAATAAACTCTTCCTCATTCCCATCAGACATCAGTAGAACAGCCTTTTAACATCCATATTTGTATCACCATACTTTTCATGATTACTTACATAGTCTCTAAGATGAAAACTTTCTCACCAGTTCTCCTCTTTTCTTTCTGAGCCATCACTAGAATCACTATTAACATCTATATTTCTGACAGGCACCTCAAAACTCTCTCAGACTTTACCCTTTACCCAGTTCTAAAGCCTGTTCCATATTTTTAGGTGTTTGTTACAACAGCATCCCTCTTCTTGCACCAAAATTTGCCCTACTTAGCTTGAGCTGTCATAACGAAATATCACAGCCTGAATGGTTTAAACAATAGAAATGTATTTCTCATAGTTCTGGAGGCTTCTTGGGAAGTCTGAGGTCATGGTGCTGGCCAATTTTGTTCCTAATAAGGAATCTCTTCCTGGCCTGCTCGTGGCTGCCTTCTTACTTGGTCCTGACATTGCAGAGAGAGGGAGAGACCAAGCTCTCTGTTGCCTCCTCTTATAAGGGCACTAATCCCATCATGAGGTCCCTAATCTCATTATCTCATATAAACATAATAATCTCCCAAAGGCCCTAACTTTGGGAGTTAGAGCTTCAACATACAAATTTTGAAGGTGGGATACAATTTAGTTTATAACACACAAATATAAAACCAAAACAAATCAAAAAAGCTTTTTTGTTGATATAGCATATATATATACATTGTGTATTTATACACACACACATTACATGTATATATGGTATCACTTCAAATTAGAAGGTGAGAACTGTGTAAAGGATGATGGGCTCTTTCCTGAGTGGCCTGAAGTGATCTGTAAAAATGGTCCACTATTCGCTTGACCAAGAAAACCCCACAAAATCATGCAAATCAGAAGGTTCAAATCTTCATGTTCACTCTGAAAACACCCATGAAACTGCCCAGGCCACCAAGGGTATGCATATATAAAAAGCCGTCAAGTATCTGAAAGATGTCAGAAACAGTCTGTACCATTCCAGTGTTACAATGGTGGAGTTGGGAAGTGTGCCCAAGCCAAACATTGGGGCTAGACACATGGTCAGTGGCCCAAAAAGAATGCTGAGTTTTTGCTGCACATGCTTAAAAATGCAGAAAATAAGTCAGAACCTAGGGGTTTCGATGTAGACCCTTTGGCCATTGAGCATATCCAGGTGAACAAAGCACCCAAGATGCCCTGCCAGACTTGCAAAGCTCATGGTTGGATTAACCCATACAGGAACTCCCCCTGCCACATGGAGATGATCTTTACTGAAAAGAAACAAAATCAGAAGAGAAAGATATCCCAGAGGAAACTGAAGAAACCAATACATAGGGCACAGAAATACATTCAGAATAAAAGGAATGTAATTAAAAATAAATAAATAAATAATGATGGGTCAACTATTAGCCATATGGAAAAAAATTAAATGGATCACTACCTAATAATTTACACAAAAATGAAATCTAATGTAAGGGAGATTGATATATACAAAATAGTAGTATGAAAATAAAGAGCTGGGGGAAATTGTTTCTTAACTTTTGGGTCAGGATGACTCTTCAGGAAAAAAGTCAGGGAAGAGACATCCCCTTCTACCACTCTCCAATCTCCAGCCAGTGCTCCCCAGTGACTGAAGCCAGGTGATGTGGATGACAAGTGAGCATGTATGTGCAGTCCTTCATTACAGAAAAGGCTGGAGAGTTGATCCAGA